>NC_000016.10:62138257-62441288 GCF_000001405.40 Homo sapiens | reverse complement strand
CCTATTGCTGTTTTGATACATATAGTGTATAAGCAGATTAGGGTAATTAGCATATCCATCATCTCAAACTTTGTGTTTGTGTGTGTTAGGAGCATTTAATATCCTCCTTTTAGCTATTTGAAACTATCTATTATTGTTAATTATAGTCACCCTACTGTGTTATAGAACATTAGAATTTATTAATCCTATTTAGTATAATTGTGTGTCCTTTAACATATCTCTCCCTATGTTTCCCTTCCTCTTACCCTTCCCAACCTCTAATATTAATATACTCTGTTCTGCTTTTTATTTCTATAAGATTAACATTTTTAAGCTTCCACGTATGAATATGAACATGCAGTGTTTAACTTTCTGTTTCTGGCTTTCATTTAGTCTAATGTCTGCTAGTTTCATCCATGTTGCCAGGAATGACAAGATTTTATTCTTTTTATGTCTGAATAGTATTTCATAGTATATATATACCATATTTTCTTTATCTATTCATCTGTTGTTGACATCTAGGTTAATCCGTATCTTGGCTATTGTAAATAGTGCTGCAATAAACATGGAGGTGTGGATGTATCTTCATTTCTGTTCCTTTGGATAAATGCCCAGTAGCAGGATTGCTGAATCATATGGTAGTTCTATTTGTAGTTGTTGGAAGAACCTCCATACTATTCTCCAGAATGGTCATACAAGTTTACATTCTCACCAAAGTGCATTAAGAGTTCCCTTTTCTCCATATCCTACCAGCATTTGTTAATTTTTATCTTTTTGATAATAACCATCCTAATGCATGAGATGATACCTCATTGTGATTTTGATTTGCATTTTCTTGATGATTAGTGATATTAAGCATTTTTCATATTTTGGTGGCCTTTTGTGTATATATATATATATATTTTTTTTGAGACAGAATCTGGCTCTGTCATCCAGGCTGGAGTGCAGTGTCATGATCTCAGCTCACTGCAACCTCTGCTTCCCAGGTTCAAATAATTCTCATGCCTCAGCATCCTGAGTAGCTAAAATTACAGGCATGCACCACCATGCTTGGCTAATTTTTATATTTTTAGTAGAGACAGCGTTTTGCCATGTTGGCCAGGCTGGTCTCAAACTCCTGACCTCAAGTGATCCAGCTGCCTCAGCCTCTCAAAATGCTAGGATTACGATGGTGCCCAGCCTGTATGTCTTCTTTTGAGAATTGTCTATTCAGATTATTAGACCATTTTTAATTGAATTTTGTTGTTGTTGTTGAGATGTTTGAGTTTCCTGTGTATTCTGGATATTAACCACCTTTCAGATGCATAGTTTACAAATATTTTCACCCATTCCTTTTTTTTTTTTTTTTAAAGGGAATCTCATAGTTTCTTAGTCTGGAGTGCAATGGCGCGATCTCAGCTCACTGCAACCTCTGACTCCCGGGTTCAAGCAATTCTCCTTCCTCAGCCACCCGAGTAGCTGGGATTACAAGTCTGCATCAACACACTCAGATAATTTTTTGTATCTTTAATAGAGATTGGGTTTCACCATGTTGGCCAGCCTGGTCTCGAACTCCTGACCTCATGATCCACCTGCCTCAGCCTCCCAAAGTGCTGGGATTATGGGTGCCAGCCATTGCGCCAGGCCTTTTCATCCATTCTTTAGGTTATCTTTTCACTCTGTTTGTTTCCTTTGCTGTGCAGAAGATTTTTGGCTTAATGTAAGTCCATTTGTTTATTTTGTTTTTGATACCAGTGCATTTGACATTTTTCATAAAATCTTTTCCCAGACCAATGTCCTGACATATTTCCTTTATGTTTTCTTGTAGTAGAATTTGATTTTGTGGTTTATATTTAGATCGTTGATCCATATGAAGTTGATTTTTGTATAGAGTGAGAGGTGGAAGTCTAGGTTTATTCTTCTTCTGGATATCATTTATCCATAAGATAATTTATTCATAAGATAAGATGATTTACAGCATCATTTGTTGAAAGTACTGCCCTTTCTTCATTGAGTATTCTTGGTGCATTTGTCAAAAATCCTGGGGCAGTAGATATGTGAATTAACTTCTGGGTTCCACATTCTGTTCTATTGGTCTATGTTTTAGTTGTTATGCCAGTACCATGCTGTTTGGGTTACTATAGCTTTATGGTATATTTTTAAGTCAGGTAGTGTGAGGTTTCCCATTTTCTTCTTTTTTGCTCAGAATTTCTTTGGCTATTTGAAGTCTTTTATGAATCCATAAGAATTTTAGAATTTTTTTATTTCTTTGAAGAATTTCATTGGTACTTTGATAGGGATTGCATTGAATCTCTAGGTCGCTTTGGGTAATATGGTCACTTTAACAGTATTAATTATTTGATCCATGAGCATGGAATGTCTTTTCATTGCTTTACATCTTCTCCAATTTCTTTTGTCAGTGTTTTCTGGTTTTTCTTGTGGAAATCTTTCACCTCCTTGGTTAAATGTAGTCCTGCATATTTTTTCGTAGCTATTGTAATTGGGATTGCCCTCTGGAATTCAGTTTCAGTGAGTATTTTGTTTATTTATAGAAATGCTAATGATTTTTCTATGTTGACTTTGTATTCTGCAACTTTACTAAATTCTTTTATCAGTTCTAAGAGTTCCTTGGTAGAGTTTTTAGGTTTTTAATTTATTAGATCATGTCATCTGCAGAGAGGAACAATTTGACTTTCCCATTTCCCATTTCCCATTTGGATGCCCTTTGTTTCTTTATCTTGTCTTATTGCTTTTGCTGAGACTTCTGGTACTATATTGAATAGGAATGGTGAAAGTGGGCATCCTTGTCTTGTTCTAGTTTCTAGAGGAAAAGTTTTAAACTTTTCCCTTTTCAGTATGATATTAGCTCATCATACTAACTTAAATACATGTAATATATGGCCTTTATTTTATTGAGATATTTTTTCTATATCTAATTTATTGAGAATTTTTATCATAAAATGATGTTGAAATTTATCAAATGCTTTTTCTGCATCTATTAAGGTGATACCATAGGTTTTGACCTTTATTCTGTTGATGCGATGCATCACATTATTAATTTTTATATGTTGAATCATCCTTAAATCTCTGGAGTAAAACCCACTTGATTATGATGTATTATCTTTTTGATGTACTGTTGCATTTGGTTTGCTAGTATTTTGTTGAGGATTTTTTTGTCTGTGTTCATTAGGAGTATTGTCCTGTAGTTTTCTGTTTTTATTGTGTCCTTGTCTGGTTTTCATATTAGGGTTATGCTGGCCTCATATAAGGAGTTAAGAATTATCTGTGCTTCAACTTTTTGTAATAGTTTGAGAATAATTGGTATTATTTCTTTTTTAATGGTTCAGTGTAATTCATTGGTAAAACCATCTAGTCTTGGAGATTTTTTTTGTTTTAAAATTTTTTATTACTGATTCAATCAAGTTACTTTTTATTAGTCTGTTCAGATTTTCTATTTCTTCTTGCTTCAATCTTGGTAGGTTGTATGTGTCCAAGAATTTATCCATTTCATCTAGGCTTTTGAATTTATTGATCGATAATCATTCATTGTTCATAGTCATTTCTAATGATATTTTGTGTTTCTGTGGTATCCATAGTGATATCTCTATTTTCGTTTCTGATTTTGTTTATTTGGGTCTTCTCTCTTTTTTTAAACTTTTGTCTAGCTAAAAATGTGTCAATATTATTTATCTTTTCAGAAAAATAACTTTTTGTTTCATTGATCTTTTGTATCTTTTTTTCTCAATTTTGTGTATTTCTGCTCTAATCTTGATTATTTCTTTTTTCTACTAATTTTGACTTGGTTTGTTATTGCTTTTCCAGTTCTTTGAGGTGCATTGTTACTTATTTGAAATCTTTCTAGTTTTTTGATGTATTTTTTTACTATAAACTTGCCTCTTAATATTGCTTTTGTTTGCCCCATAGGCTTTGGCATGTTATGTTTCTATTTTCATTTGTTTAAAGGCATTTTAAAATTTCATTCTTAATTGATTTCTTCACACATTGGTCATTCTGGGGCATGTTGTTTAATTTCAATGTATTTGCATAGTTACATATGTTCCTGTTGTTATTAATCTCTAGATTTCTTCTACAGGGACCTGAGAAGATAGTTGATATGATTTTATTATTTTTCTTAAATGTTGAGGCTTCTATGTGCTAATGAAATAAATGTGTTTTCTGCATCTATTGAGGAAAATATTCTCTAAATGTCTGTTAGGTCCCTGTGGTCTATGGTACACTTTTAATCCAGTGTTGTTTTTCTTATTATTGATCTTTTGTCTAGATGATCTGTTCAATGCTGAGAGTGTGGTGTTGAATTCCTCAACTATTTTTGTATTTAAATTTAAGATATTATAATTACTGGTAGGGAAGAACTTACTATTACCATTTTGCATTTTTAAAATCTATTTAAATCTATTTTTTCCTCTGTCTTGCTGCCTTGTTTGAATTTCACTGAGTTTTTGTAGTAGCATAATCTGATTCTTTTCATATTCCTTTTTGTGTATCTTTTACAGATATAGCAGTCTATTATAAACTGATAACAATTTAATTTCAATCACATACAAAAAGTGTACTTGTTTATATCTATGCCCCTCCTTTTATTTTACTGATATTACAAATTGCATCTGCTCATATTGTGTATCTATTAATTTGTTATTTCTATGCTTTTGTCTTTTAAGTTCTATACCAGAATGAACAATGATGCATACACCAATGTTGTAATGCTACAAGATTCTATACTTGTTTACACATTTACTTTCACTAGGAAGTCATGCATTTGTTCATGTTTTTTTGTTGCTGTCTCACAAACTTTGATTTAAATTTGAAGGACTCCCTTTAGCATTTCCTGTAGGGCAGGACCAGTGGTGGTAAACTTCCTTAGTTTTTATTCATCTAGACAAGCCTTAATTTCTTAATCATTTTGAAGGACAGTTTTGTAAAATACATATTTCCTGGTTGACAGTTTTTTGTTTTGTTTTTTCTTTCAGCACTTTGGATATATCATTCTACTCCAATCTGGCCTGCAATGTTTCTGCTGATAAATCCAGTCATAATCTTATGCAAGCTCCCTTATATGTAATGAATCATTTGTCTCTTTTCTCTTGATGCATTCAACATTTTGTTTTTGTCACCAACTTTTGACAGCTTGATTGTAATATGTCTTGGTATAGGCTTCATTTTACCTTCATTTCTTTTTTTCTTTTTTTTTTTTTTTGAGACAGGGTTTCCTTCTGTTGCCCAGGCTGGAGTGCAGTGGCAGGATCTCTGCTCACTGCAGCCTCAACCACCTACCAGGCTCAAGCAATCTTCCTCCCTCAGCCCACCAAGTAAATGGGACTACAGGCACGCACCACCACACCTGGCTAGTTTTGTATTTTTTGTAGAGATGGGATTTCACCATGTTGTCCAGGCTGGTCTCTAACTCCTGGGCCCAAGCAATCCATCTGCCTCAGCTTCCCAAAGCACTACGATTACCGGGTGAGCCACCACACCTGGCCTACCTCTTATTTCTTAAGCTGACATAATGCATATAATGGTCCACTTGCTGGTGTCCCATAGTTTCTTAGATTATCTTTTTCTTTTTTCTATTTCTTTTTCTTGTTTTGTTTTTTTTTTCTGTTTTTTATTGTTGTTGTTGTTGTTTCTTTTTTTTTTTTTTGGTTCTCTGCCTCAATAATTTCAAATTATCTGTCTTCAAGTTTGGTAATTCATTCCTCTGTTTGTTCACGACTGCCATTAAAGCCCTCTAGTAAATTTTTCAATTCAGTAACTCTATGCTTCACTTCGAAAGTTTCTGCTTGTTTCTTTTTTACGGTTTCTATCTCTGTTGATATTCTCAGTTTTTTATGCATATATTTTATTTTATTGTCTATCTGTGTTTACTTTTAGCTCATTGAACATCTTTAAAGCAGTTACTTTGAATTCTTTGTCAAATAATTTATAGATCTGAAATTCTTTAGGGTTTGCTTCTAGAGATCTATTTTGGTCTTATAAGTGGCTCATGCTTGCCTGTTTCTTTGTAAGCCTCATTGTCCTTTGTTCAAATTTGTGCCTTTGAAGAAAATAGCCACCTCTCCCAGTTTTTAGTTATTGGTTTTATATATGGGAAGACTTTCACCAATCAGACCTGCTAGAGATGATGGGGTTCTCTCAAAAGTTATCCGGGAATGCATCTTCTTTTGGTTTGTGCTGTAATTTCCCAGCTAAAGAGTTTTCCCCTATTGTTTTTAGTTGTTCACAATCTTTTGCTTCCTATAGTGTCTTTTTAGAGTAATGTAGTCTCTGATGCTGCAACAAGCTACTACCCTCACCTTTGTTCTCAGCAGTCCCACCAGCATCTTTGTTCTCAGCAGTCCCACCAGCATCAATATTTTGCCAGTTTCTGTTAGCACTCTACATCAAACAAGACAGACGCCAGTCCCTTGGGAAGACTTCTGGAAAGACAAAATGTTGGATGTAGGTTCTCCTCTTCTATTTCCCTCTTAATGAAGAAGCCATGAGTTGGGAGGTTGCTAAGGGAAGGCGCTATTGTGAGTAAGTGTAACAAACTTTTCCAAACCCAATTTGATGAGTTTCTTTTTGCCTGTGTACTCTTCTGGGGTGCTATAATCCCTTAATTGGTTTCTAGAGTTCTCAGAAAGGCCGTTTGATCTGTATATTGCTGTTAATTCAGTGTTTCCATGGAAAGAAAGGGTCTGAGGCTTCTTATTCCACCATGTCAGTGGTGTCATTCCTGACCACCATATTTTGATTCAGTATATCTGAGTTGGTACCAGCACCCCAGATAATGCTGATGTGGGAGGAATACAGAGCACATATTTGGGAATACTCTTTTGTACCAAGATTTCTCAAAATGGATGGCACATTAGAATCACAGAAAATGTACTGATGTTTAGACTTCACTCTCAAACATCCTAATTTACGTGGTCTTGGATGGACTTCAACTTGACTAGTTTAAAATATTTTCCAGGTGATTGTAATGTGCAGCCAGGGCTGAGAACCACTATTGTTATGCTACTTATTGATTAACTTTGGGAATCCATTAGGGCAGCTCATCTCTTTCAGTAGTTAAGTGTTAATGAACATATAATTTAAACATGAATGAAAACTCCATTTAATGTCAGATTCTTCTTCAGCTCAGTTCTCCATGTTATTAACTAGAGTCAAACCATTTAAAAATAACACATGTATTTGGAAAGGACTATAAATCTACTACCGCTAGGAAAAGCAACTATGACTCAATCCCATTAAAAGGTGAAGAAATTTAACTTAATTTGTTGAAGAAAAACAGCTGACTATTTTCTTCTGCATTAGTGAAAAGAAACAACAGGCCGGGTATGATGGCTCACACCTGTAATCCCAGCAGTTTGGGAGGCCAAGGCAGGCGGATTGCCTGAGGTCAGGAGTTCGAAAGCAGTCTGGCCAACATGGTGAAACCCCATCACTACTAAAAATACAAAAAAATTAGCTGGGCATGGTGTGCACCTGTAATCCCAGCTACTCAGGAGGCTGAGGCAGGGGAATTGCTTGAACCAGGGAGGTGGAGGTTGCAGTGAGCCGAGATCATGCCACTGCACTTCAGCCTAGGCGACAGAGCAAGACACTGTGCAAAAAAAAAAAAAAAAAAAAAAAAGAAATGATAGACAAGTTCAAATCTTGGCACACACACGTAGTTTATTAGATAACACAATTAAAATAGGGTAGAAAGAAGCATTCCTTCCTTTTTGCTTTTTCAGAAGGTTTCCAGTAGTGTTTAAATATTGCTATAGCTCTCACACTGTTACAAAATCCAGAGTTCCCATGAGGTTTTTAGCATTCCTTCCAACAGAGGTTTCTGCCAAATGATTTTGAAAGCAAATGATTTACAAAATTTTTTCAAAGACTTATTAAAGTAGCAAATAAGGTGAGATAGGTGTTAATTTGGGGATGTGTTCATATTTTTGAACTTAAAAAAAGTAACAGTATTGAAAGCAAAGGGAAAACAGATTATTTATACAATTCACTTATTTAAACAAGCAAACAAATAATCTATATTTTTCCCTTCCACTATCCTAATGGATACATTACCACATTATCCTAAATTGCCTGTCTCCCAGATTGACAAGGGGAGCATGGAAGAGAGAGCAAGAGATCTTCCCAGTGAGCCTTGGCTTCCATTCTGGGCTTGATCTCCCTGAAAGCACACATTTCCATCTGATGTATCCTGCAGATTACCCAGTATATCTAAGCTCACTGGCTTTGTATTTGTTAAATTAATGACAGCTTCCTGAACCAAGAAGTTATACCATTTATATTTTAAAGCTGTGTAGTCACGTAAAGATGTTTTAAGAAATTACTCATTTTCCACAATTTTCTCAAATACAATTTAATTTCTGGCATTTCTAACAAAAATCTTATAACACACTGCCATATTTTCTTATACATGACTGCATTGTTCTTCATACCCCAATCCTAGGATCCAGTATCTCCACTATTCCAGTGGGATTTAAAAATAATAATAATAATATGTAGCATGAACTGTGGGTAGTGTTGCTTTTTATTTAATAAGAATAAGTGGTATTTATTTCCTATTTAAGAGTAAATGACAGCTTATAAAAAGTTTTGCTAATGCTAAGATCTTAGAAACATCATCATTCAAGCATTTATTTCTGTACCCTTAATATGATGTTTCTTTTCATGAATCCGATTCAAGATCATATAACAACCTTAACCAATTCATTAGTAAATTCTAAAAGGCCTCTTCTTGTTCCATTGTACATTGTGTAACACCATTACCTACACAATTTTTCCAGAATTTCTCCAACTGGAAACATTGTTCTATGACTGGATTGTATATTCTCAGTGCTTCCCTGACTCTCACTTCTAGGATTTCTTGAAAAGGGGTATACAGAGTCAGATAAATTCTGAACATGAAGTTATTTTTAGCTGTTTTCCTCTGATGATTCATGCAATTTTTGTCTTGCCTTCCCATCCCTGCTGTTTTCTAACAAGGCTATATTTGCCCTATCAAAAAAGTCCAGGACCCAAAAGGGCTGAAGAGTCTGGAAACACATATCATAAACCTTCACATCTGCAAAAAAATAAACAAGCCAAGCAACCCAAACTCACGCTAAAGTAAAAGCCAAAGCCAAAACCACAAGCCAGTACAACCAAACAAATGTAAACTTCCTTTATCACTCTGGACACTTTATCAATTTTCCTGCTTCAGCATCCAGTTGTTGTAACAATATTTTTTATACTATGGAAGTTTTTTTCCTTAAAAATTAAAAAAAGGTACAAATTGCAACAGATATACAGTTCCCTATTATTGAAACTTCAATTTATATCAAACTGACAGTTGAAAGCAATTTTTTTTCCATCAGCCTGCAAAAACTCATCTAAAATGACCTTTCTGAATAATTGATGAGAAGTTTTTGTGTTTGTTGCAACTTTCTAAGCTGTGCACACCACACTGTAGCCAGATTACTTCAATGGACTTTGCAAAACCTAATTTGTAACTCTTCCTGTCAGCTTTTCTATAAGTGGTGGCATTTGTTAGGGAACGCCACTACAGTCAGCAAAGATGAGGCAGTATTAAGACATATTCTACCTGTTTGATTTACTTTCAAATTAAGCCCATTTGTTGAGTAATGTCCCATATGCTGTATAACTAATGATGAAAATCAACATATATGGTTCAGTTTTCCCATTCCCTCAATGTTAGAAGAGTACTAATCAAAGACAAATGATGATTAAAGGGTAGTTTTTCTGTATTCCCTCCTATTTGCACTATCTAGTGTGCATGTACATGTACACTCTTTAGTGATAAAATAGTTTAGCTACAAAGAATGAATACAATTGCTAGAACACTCCATGAGCTCTACTTATTATATTATCTACAAGAAACCAGAAAAATAGCAAAAGTGATATTTGGTCACCTAAGCTAATCTGAAAACTGTGTCTGCAAATTAGCCAGTCATATGCTATTAACGAATTGTGTTAATTATATTTCTTATTCAAATAGAGAAATAAAACAGACGGCAATAAAAATTACCATAATTATATTGCCCTGCCTCAGTCCTTAGCCCAAGGAGATTTTTCAGTAATTAATTACATATACATGAAGAGGTAGATAATGACAATCTATAGCTATGTCACTCTTATAAATTTATAAAATATTAAATGTTTTGACAAAATTGAGATTATAATATATTCAAACTTTTATATTATCAAATTTATTTTGTGAAATATTTTTCTTTCTTTTTTTTTTTTTTTTGACGAAGTCTCACTCTGTCGCCAGGCTGGAATGCAGTGGCACAATCTCGGCTCACTGCAACCTCCGACTCCCTGGTTCCAGTGATTGTCCTGCCTCAGCCTCTAGAGTAGCTGGGATTACAGGAACACACCAACACGCTCAGCAAATTTTTGTATTTTTAGTAGAGACGGGGTTTCACCATGTTGGCCAGGATGGTTTTGATTTCCTGACCTCATGATCCTCCCCGCTTGGCCACCCAAACAGCTGGGATTACAGGCGTGAGCCACCACGCCCAGCCATTTTGTGAAATATTTCACAAACACAAATATCCAACTTCAGACTACAATGAATCTTAACATTATGGTATGTTTACTGTAGTTCCATCATTTAAAAAAATGTATATATTTGAGATACAATCAAAGCCCTCTGAAAACAAAGCCTCTGGTTCTATTACCCTCTCCAAAGGTAATCACAAATATGAATTTAATGTTTATCATACTCATGCATGTTTTAATATTTAATACATGTTTATATATCCCTAAACATAATGTAGTCTTGTATTGGAAGATTTTAAAGCTTAAATACATTAAATCATGTTTTATATGCCACTCTGCAACTTGCTACTCCTTCCCATTATTCAGTTTAGAAATTTATCTTTTCTGATAAATATATCTCAATTTGGTGATTCTTACATATTGGTGGGTATTAGAATCACCTGGGAAACCTGGAAAAACTACAAAGTCCAAAGTCCTGTCTTACTGGAATAAGCTCAGGTCTCTGTGTTTCTTATAAGCTTTGTAGGCTATTCTGATACACATCAAAGTGTGGGGATCACTATTCAACTTTACTGGCCATTGTATTATATGTAATTATATATTATATAACTATATCAAAATTTATTCATTTTTCTTTTGCTGAACATTTGCTATTTTCATTCTCTTTTTTTTTTTTTTTTTTTTTTTTTACAAGTAATATACCATGTGGGATACTAAGTATTGCAATGTTGGCCTCCCAAGTTGTCATAGTAACTTACACTCACTAAGGTGCCAACCAGTTTTGGTTTGTCTGAAATATTCCTCTGTTCCACGAGGCAAATTGTTGTATTTGATCACCCTAAAGAGAGAGATATCTTCACCTACCTGAAAACATTAGCATCATCACATTATTTAAAAGAATATATATGAATAATATACAATATATTATATATATTATATATAATATGGCCATGCAGAGGTGTGCATAAAGAATTGATAATTAGATAATTATCCATTTAATTAAACAAAACTGGGATACATTTTGTTTTAGGTTGTATTTCATTGATTACTATTGTGACTGATCACTTTTCTAAGCATATTAGTCTTTCAGATTTTCTCTTCTGTGAATTATACTTGCCCATTTTTCTAATAAGATGTTTATTCTCTCCTATAGAGTCTTATCCATTATTACAAATTTTCTACTTTATTTCAGTTACATGTGTTACAAGTATCTTATACCAGTCTGTACCTTGTCTTTTATCTGCTTTGGATTTTGTACAAATTTCACTTTTGACATAAACAAAATTTTCAATCTTTAATGTTTTATGCTTTTTTGGTCTTATCTAAGAATTGGCTTTGTACACTAAGGTAATAACTTTTATTTTTATAGATATTTTTCTAAAAATTCAAGATTTTACTTTTGAAATTTACATCTTTAGTATACCTAGAATTGCATGTGAACTGCTAATTTTACTTTTTATGTAAATAATAATTTATTCCAACACTACATATTGAGCCAATCTTTTAATTATTGATCTACAGTATTATGTCCCAAATCTAGTTTTTATAAATCTTTTGGCTTATTTTATGGGGTCTGGTTTTAGTTCATATAGTCTGTGTTTTGACATCTATTCTCTAGCATCCCAACTAACATCTCTTAATCATTATAGTTTTAAATTAGACATAAAATCTATTTATCTGGTAGAAAAACTGATTTCACATTGGTCTTTTTAAAATACTCTTGTTATTTGTAACCTTTTCATTTTTCATTTAAATTTTATGGTAAACTCATTTAGTTGCATTAAAAATGTGATTTTGATTAAAGTCACATTGAATTTACAGGGTAATTTAGAAAGAATTGCTATATTAACAACTGAGTGAATTGAGAATTCACTCTATATATTGGTTAAGTGGAGACTATGCCTTTCACTATTTTCTCAGGAGGACTATTTATATTTATGACACATTCTGTTAAAAAAATATATATATATAATTATACTTTAAGTTTTGGGATACATGTGCAGAACGTGCAGGTTTGTTACATAGGTATACATGTACCATGGTGGTTTGTTGCACCCATCAATCCGTCATCTACATTAGGTATTCCTCCTGCTATCCCTCCCCTTGCCCCCCACCCTCTGACAGGCCCCAGGGTGTGATGTTCCCCTCCCTGTGCCCATGTGTTCTCATTGTTCAACTCCCACTATGAGTGAGAACATGCAGTGTTTGGTTTTCTGTTCCTGTGTAGTTTGCTGAGAATGGTGGTTTCCAGCTTCATCCATGTCCCTGCAAATGACATGAACTCATCCTTTCTTATGGCTGCATAGTATTCCATGGTGTATATGGGCCACATTTTCTTTATCCAGTGTAATATTGATGGACATTTGGGTTGTTTCCAAGTCTTTGCTATTGTGAATAGTGCTGCAATAAACATACGTGTGCATGTGTCTTTATAGTAGAGTGATTTATAATCCTTTGGGAATATACCCACTAATTGGATTGCCAGGTCAAACGGTATTTCTAGTTCTAGATCCTTGAGGAATTGCCACACTGTCTTCCACAATGGTTGAACTAATTTACACTTCCATCAACAGTGTAAAAGTGTTTGTTTCTATTTCTCCAGATCCTCTCCAGCATCTGTTGTTTCCTGACTTTTTAATGATCACCATTCTAACTGGCGTGAGATGGTATCTCACTGTGGTTTTGATTTCCATTTCTCTAATGACCATTGATGATGAGCTTTTTTTCGTATGTTTGTTGGCCACATAAATGTCTTCTTTTGAAAAGTTCCTGTTCATATACTTCGTCCACTTTTTTATGGGACCATTTGTTTTTTTCTTGTAAATTTGTTTAAGTTCCTTGTAGATTCTGGATATTAGCCCTTTGTCAGATGGATAGATTGCAAAAATTTTCTCCCATTCTGTAGGTTGCCTGTTCACTCTGATGATAGTTTCTTTTGCTGTGCAGAAGCTCTTTAGTTTAATTAGATCCCATTTGTCAATTTTGGCTCTTATTGCCATTGCTTTTGGTGTTTTAGTCATGAAGTCTTCGTCCATGCCCATGTCCTGAAGGGTACTGCCTAGGTTTTCTTCTAGGGTTTTTATGGTTTTAGGTCTTAGGTTTAAATCTTTAATCCATCTTGAGTTAATTTTTGTATAAGGTGTAAGGAAGGCATCCAGTTTCAGTTTTCTGCATATGGCTAGCCAGTTTTCCCAACACCATTTATTAAATAGGGAATAGTTTCCCCATTGCTTGTTTTTGTCAGGTTTGTCAAAGATCAGATGGTTGTAGATGTGTGGTGTTAATTCTGAATGTATTTTTAAAAGACTGTCTTCTGGGGACACTCTAAGGAGACAGTGGTTTTCTAGCAGCATTTTATGAAGGATTAGGAAAAGAAGCTTTGAGAGAACAAATCATTAAGGAACTTTCATTGATCTCAAAGAGTCTCTTTTTCAACAGATGTGCAGGAAAATGAAATGTTTCTATTTCTCCCCCAGAGAGTTTGGTCATTTTTCAGGATGAGCTCCTCGTAATTTCATGCATTTGACACTTGGGTAGGAAAAAATAAAGAAGTACCCACCCAATACAGACATATTTGATAAAACCTTTCTCTTAAAGTATAGTACTATTCTGATTATCTACAATGAAAAAGAAAGAAAAACATTTCACTCTCTTCACTGTCATCTAGAATGTGATGACAAGTTCAAAATAAGCATTCCCCTAATTAGAAATAGGTAAATTATCTGAATTATCTGGGAAAGTATTGGAAGACAGCAAGAAAAACTTGAGGCAAGGGGATTTGGCATGCACATCTGTAGGAAGCTATGTAACATTTTTTTTTTTTTTTTTTGGCAGGAAAGGATGCTTACTAGAACAGAGCAATTAGTGACCACTTTTTCAGTTTCCCTGCTGAGAAGGCAGCCTTGTCAACTGCCTTATTACTGCAGAAATACTCAGTCCCGATGGTCAGCACTTGTCTCCTGGGTTGCTTTTGTCTACAAATTGATATGTTGTTCTGCCTTAAATGATCCAGCCCTGAGAATGCCTTGGGTTCTGAACTCTTGACGCTGACTTATCAGCATGGGAACACACTATGGAAGAATTGCTGCTTGGAGAGGACTGTATCTATCTCTTTTATGAGTGAAGCTGCATGAAGGAGGCAAACTTTGTAAAAAAGAGGTGAATATTTGGACAGTGAGCTGAAAGTTACAATGCCATTGGGGAGAATGTGTGTATGAATTAAAATTATGCTGTTCATTTTGACTGGTTGTAGCCTAGCCCAGGAAATTAAATAGAGCCATTCTCTCAAACGTGTTCTGAAAGAGGCCAAGGCTCCAAATAGTTATATGTTTGTTTATCTGTAAGTAAGTAGCAGTATTGGTAAGAATAGTTATGCAAAATCAAATAAGTTTCCCTGACCTGTAATCCTGGCAGACACCGGAGATACATGCAGAACCCAGTAAATTGAATTCAGTGAGAAATCCTGCCACTTCCATCACTGGAGAAACGTCTATTTTGCCTGATCAAATTAGTCCCTGATTATACGTTTGAAGACTTTTACTTATATAATATTTTAATAAGTGGTATTTACAAAACCTCTAATAAAACAGTGACATAATCATACAAAAGTGGGAAGATATGAAATGTAAAAAGGCCATAACTTATGAGGCTTTGCCAGTGTGAGACACAGTAGATGAATATCTAAGATTTACAGAACCCTTAGAGATACTATACATGGAAATATTTACAGACTTTAACAACCAAAAACAACAGCAACAAAAACTGGTTGGTGCAAAATTTTTACCTGTGCTATCCAGTAACCCAGGTGATATAAACTTAACAAAAATGAAACTGTTTCACAAAACATACCATTCTTATATAGATGTGTTTTTCTATCCTACTTTCTTCATTTTTTTCTGTCCTAAAAGCAGATACTAAAGTGGAACTGGCGCTCTGATGCATAATGCAAAAATAATTAACACATTTAAATGGCAAAATTACTGATCTGAAGGACATGGGACCCACACTATGATTTCTGTAACACTTCAGATATTGATATATGTCCATTAAAAGCATCTAACATGAGATAGGTTCGATGAAGTTCTACTGCACTTTCTCTGTGTTCTTGGCTAGGACTGGTTTAAATCAGAGAAAAAGGGAAGAAAAAGGAAAGGGACAAAAAATATTGTTATGAGGAAAGGGCTAAGAATATAGGAAGAATTGGAAGGAAGCAAAGTAAATAAATGTAATGCTTTACTCATCAAAATGTGCCTCAAGGAATTACTGTTCACCAGACCCTCTCAACAGAAATATGATATAGCTCCTGACAGGTGGCATTGTTTGTATAGTATTCTTAAAGATATTGATGTTCATATCAAGAGTAATAGAGTACAAGCCACATAGTAAGTTGTAATACAACATTGAGAAACCAGAACCTCAGAATCCTAGTCCAAGAATAGCCATAGGATGTTTCATGAAGCACTTAGTGTAACTGCCCAATGTGTTTATTTTGCCTGCTGCCCTGGCAGAGCCCATTTATAAAGACAGGGGAATTGCAATACAGAACTTAATTCATGCAAAGCTGGATGAACAGGAGACTGGAGATTTATTATTACTCAAATCAGTCTCCCTGAACATTTGGAGGCCTGGGTTTTTCAAGGATAGTTTAAGGAAAGAGAAGAGGGCTGGAGAGGCTGCTGATTCATTGGGGTACAATCACAGAAGTGTGGGAAATGGTCCTCATGCAGGCTAGGTTGCTTCTAGGGGGGAGCACAGGAGCGATTGGTGGGTCCAGGTGGAGACATCAGTGTGCAAGTTCAGGTGGAGCCACTGGTCATCAGACATGGAAAAACCAAGCAAAACAAAACAAAAACCCTGAAAAGACATCTCAAAAGGCCAGTCTTAGGTTCTGCAATAGTGATGTTATCTGCAGGAATAACTGGGGAAGCTGCATATCTTGTGACCTCCGAAATAATGGTGGGTAATTGTTTATGTCTACAGCTTAGCAGAATTCAGGCTGCTCTCATCCTCCTAGCCTGGTGGTCTCTCATTAGCTTTACAAAGGTGGTTGATTTTTGGCAAAAGATATTATTTAAACTGTAAACTAAATATCTCCCCAAATTAGCTCAGCCCAAGCTGAGGAATAATTAAGAGCAGTTTGAATACTAATGGCAAGATGGGAGTTGATTAGATCATTTATCTTTCACTGACATAATTTCTCATTGTTATAATTTTTGGATAGGCAGTTTTATTAGTATGTGAGGATCAAATTCACTTAATAATTTTAGGAAACAAATCCAACAACTTTAGGTTACTGGAGGAGCTCATTAATGTCATTTTGTCTTTAAAATTAGAATGTATATTCCAAAAAGGGAGGGAGTTTTGTCTACTTTGCTGAGTATACGTGATGACTAGCATTGATAAGTCACGTGGTAAATATTTCTTGAATGAACAATTGAATGAAAAATGCAAATACTTTCTCTTCAACAAACATGTTGAAGCACTGAGGAGCACTTGGTACATAGCAGCGCATAATGCTAAGACTTTAGAACAAGGAATAGACGGTTTGATAACAGATGGTGCTTCTAACTCACTTTGACCTTGGACAAATATCACTTACAATTTCTGCTATGCAAAATGGCAACAACAACAATGAAATGCTTAGACTGATTTTTAAACTGTTTTCAAGATCAGATAAAATTTTATTTGTAAAATTATTATTATTTTTTTCTATTTTAAAGTCCTTTAACCAAGGATACCACATTTTATTAGTATAAAGAATTATTGTCGGCCGGGCACGGTGGCTCACGCCTGTAATTCCAGCACTTTGGGAGGCCGAGGCAGGCGGATCATGAGGTCAGGAGATGAGACCATCCTGGCTAACACAGTGAAACCCTGTCTCTACTATAAATCCAAAAAATTAGCCAGGCGTGGTGGCAGGCACCTGTAGTCCCAGCTACTCGGGAGGCTGAGGCAGGAGAATGGCATGAACCCGAGAGGCGGAGCTTGCAGTGAGCCGAGATTGCGTCACTACACTCTAGCCTGGGCGACAGAGCGAGACTCCCGTCTCAAAACAACAACAACAACAACAACAAAAAGAAGTTTTGTCATTACCTATTTCAGTCTAGAGTGATGATGTGTTCTGATATTTGCTCTAAACCAAACCTCAACCTCTGCATTATATTCTAGCATCTGCCCTCAAAAGTAGTGCAAAACTGAAAAAGTATTCCCAAATAGCTGAGACAGTGAGTCCTTTAGAGTTATGCACTGTGCCTCATTCATACTTTTTTTTTTTTTTTTTTTTTTTTTTTTTTTGAGACAGAGTCTTGCTCTGTCGTCAGGCTGGAGTGCAGTGGCGCGATCTCGGCTCACTGCAACCTCTGACTCCCTGGTTCAAGTGATTCTCCTGCCTCAGCCTCCTGAGTAACTGGGATTACAGGCACGTAATCCCACCACGCCCAGCTAATTTTGTATTTTTAGTAGAGATGGGGCTTCACCATGTTGGCCAGGATGGTCTCTATCTCCTGACCTCGTGATCCGCCTGCCTCACCCTCCCAAAGTGCTGGATTACAGGTGTAAGCCATGGCACTCGGCCCCATTCATTCTTATAAACTATAGAGATACTTTTAGTAGTGATGATACATTACCATATATATGTACACACATGCACACACACAATCTCATATTTTTAGAAAAGTTACTGCTATATTATGTTTGATATTGGCTGATTCCGATTCTATTAATGTGACAGCATCAAAACATTAACATGGAGTTTTCTGAAGATGAAATACACATAAATTTATCTAAATTTAGATGTAGTCTAAATTTCAATTATTCGTAACCTGATGCAAATTCAAATATTTGATAACATCTGTTTTATTTTATTTTATAAAGCTTCCTCTATTTTGCATGAAGCTAAGAACTAGTTTTAAGAACAAGTTATTTTAAAGCTTTTTATTTTACCATTTGAAAGTAATGTTTTATTTTCCTTTTATTTGGGAGAAAAATGTACATCTTCATGATGAGTAAAATGTGTCTGACACTTCTCAAATAATTTACTCATGGTTAAGAATAAGCAGGAGTGATTAGAGCTTCAAATCAGAAAACTTCAGAGAGCCAGAAGCTATCAAAATGTGCAGCTTTTATGAGCGATTTCTCACTCATTGCTGTATAGCAGTCACCACTGATACAGTCTAGTTTTTTCCAAAGCATGTATAATTGGGCAAATCATCTAAACCCCCACAAGCAGGCAATTATTCAACTGCACTGACGCAGAATCACTGGGTCCAGTACTTCATTAGAATATACCATAATCCCTTGTTCTTGTCTTAACCTTCGCTGTGAAAAATCTAATTCATCCAAAACTGACACAGTGTCCTGTTGGTTATGCAAACAGTGGCAATGCAGGAGACGGAGTTTCAAGCCAGTCTTCTATCTCCAGTCCCATGTGTAGGGCTCTTATCCAAATCTTTAATAGAGCCTGTGAGTTCTAATAATTATTCAACTAACACGTATAAGCTCCCTTTGTGCTCCTTTTTGAAAATGTGCTTATCTTTTTCTCTTACAGAAAAGCGAGGGAGACACTGACAGTGAGATTGAATGGCACTGCCACCACCAGAGGAATAACTGGAAAAGGAAGCAGGAGGGCACTTGGGTACAAGGGAAATGATAAGAAAAGTATAAAGCCACAGGAGCAGAATGTTACCTCCTTTCTGTCCTCCTCTTTGTTCTTATGGCCCAGTTGTCTTCCTCTTGACCCCGTCTTTGCATTGCATGGGAAATAGTACAACTTTGAGTCATCCCCACCTGGGCTAAGATGTGATAGCTGACATTGACTAGAAGTACAACCTTGACTATATTATGTAATATCTCTGAGCCCATGAATAATGGGTATGGTTGTCCCTGGAGTCTGGGATAACTAGGACAATGCCAGGCATGTAGGTTCCAGCCATATAGACCATTGAATCTGATGAAAGATATACCCCTACTGAAATGCACTGAATATTTTTGAACACCTACCATTTCTAAGAGGATATGATTTGAAAGCCAGTATAGGAAGATTTGATGCAAATCTGATTGTTGCATGGGGCCTTGGAGAATATCCTGGAAAAGCATATACCTTTGATCCTGGGTTATGATTTCAATTAGATTTTTCCTACTATGTCAAATGGTGATATAAAGTCAAATAAAACATTATAACATGAATTAAAAGTTGCTACTTTCTACCTTTACTCATTTTTCATGTGACTTCAGAGGAACTATCAGAAGACCATGTGACAAACTGATCCTCCACTTCCTTAATAATAATAATAAGAGTAATGGTTGTATACTCTAAAGAGTGCATGCTACATGACCTAAGTTAACTGATATATGTTAAGTATTTCATTTAGTCCTTACTACACATCTGTGACCTCATTGTTATTTTTAGCCTCACTTTACAAAAAAGGGTCTTGTATCTTATAGACACTGGATAACTTGATGAAGTCTACACAGTTATCAAATGGCTGAGTGGGGAGTCAAACTCAGGCACACGAAATCTGTCTTAACCAATCTTCAAGCCCAGGTGCTCTACCTGCTGCTTTCCACTCCTAGATGGTCCAGTCTCTCTCTGATTTTGCTGTTTATTTCACTGGGAAAACCTGCTGCCATGAAGCAAATCACTGTCTTTCAGAGGGCAGAAAGGAGCTCTTAAATTGCTTCTAGTAGACTTAACAGAAACACGGGCTGTTTGTAAAACAGTGATTCTCAACCTTGGCTGCAGAGTAGAAGTACCTAGGGATCTTTAATATTGGTTTCAAAGTTTCACCCCAGGGTCCTGATTTAGTTGGCCCGTCCTAGGTATGAGAAGTATCAAGTTCCTTCCAGTGATTCTATTTGAAAAGTACTGCTCTACAGCTTCAGGCCTCACTCACTCTCCCTTCTGACTGCACAGCCAAGTGGAATCCTGTGGTCCTGGTCCCAAACTGGAGATACATGGCATTTGAGTAGTCTAAAAATTCTAGGTTTGGAAAGGATGAGAAAATGATGGTGATGATGATGATGTAACACTTAATGAAAGTTGCTCAATGCTTGTCATTTACATATATTTGAACATATTAATTAAGTCTCATTACCCTTTATATTTATTCAAAATGAAAGGGGTAGAAAATTGAAATTGACCCAAATCCAAGCCAGGTATGCCACACATTGTGGGTGACTTTAAAAATGTGCTTTTAATTGCAAGAGTAAGGTCATGAGGTATGAAAGGATGGTTAGGTTTGAGGCTAGTGATGATTGTTGCATGACTGAGGTACAATTTTATGCAAGAGGTTACTATATTATAGTGATCAGTTAGTGGGTGACAGAGTGAAGTGGCACGAAGGAGTGGGTTTTAGTTTCAGTGAACTCTCTTTGGAGGAATATCAGTTACCAAAAAAGAAATCTGCTCTTAGGTGCTACAAGCCGAATGTATTAGAGCTTGCAGGAGAATTATTCCAAGGAGAAGAACCAAGATCTCAGCCACAGGACAGAGATCAGAGTTCAGGAAGGAAGGCTTAAGGGGGAGTGCCAGACAGGCTAGAGGGTCAACTTTGACAAAAGAGACACCATAGGTATCTGAAGGCCAAGGAGAATAATTTGTTTTTAAAATAAAAGAGTGGCAAGGAAATCAAAGAGCCCTCAAGGATCTCTGGCTGTTTATGAACTTCCCCTGAATATCATCTCTGTACTTGGGTTTGCTGCTGTGTTGAACTCAAACAACACAACACTAAGAGATAAGATGAGATAGAAAGTAAAACCATTGAAATGTAAGGGGATGAAGAAGTTTATTCATGGATTCCAAGAAATAACAACGATATCTGAGGGAAAACACAAATCTAGAGCCAAGGCTTTGTTCTCCAGAATGATAACAGCAGGAATTTATTTCTGGAAGGGTAACAGTGGAATTCCAGCTACAAAATAGCACATTAGTGGGCTTCCAGAGACACCTATTTCACCATAGGGTCCCAAATGATCATCTCTTAATGATTTTTTCTAAACACACGTAGGAAAATTGAAAAATAACAGTTGTTTTAGCTGTTTTTTAAAAGATATTTTGCAAATCCACATATCGACCTTTTCCCAGTACTTTCATTTGTACTATTTTACTATAAGCTTTCAAAATATTCTGAGGCAGATTGAATAGATGCCTATTCTATAGATTTTTAAAAAGCAAGTCAAATAATGAAGACAAGTGGCACATACACTAGTGATTGAAATTAGTATTGCTGGCCATTTTAAAGAATAGTCTTTGGCAGCGTTTCGCTTTCCAGCATGGACTTGACTTTCATGATTCTAAGGAATGTGTGTTGGCAATCTCAGTAGGTGAATCTATTGTGGACTTGCTACTACTGATATTTATTCAAAGGATGCTTTCAAGTCTTTGCACCTTTCTCAGTGTCCAAAATTCTTTTAGTATGAAGCCTCTTAGGGTCAGAATGTAAGAAATAAAGCAACAACTTAAATGCTGGGCTTTGGGGATAGATATGAGTCAGTATATTATGTTCACATTTAGGATTTTTTTAAAGCTTCATATAAGCAAATCTTGCAGAAAAAAAATCACAGGAAAGAAGAGGACAAGGTAACAAATCCATGATCCGACCATAGTGCAAGTACAATATTGGTATCAATAGGTTGACCTTAATCCACTCTCCAGTACTTCTATTATCCCTTCATGATTTTGTTTCCAGCACAGCACCTTTTTGGCTTCCACTTGCAGTGCTAGGCCCTGTATGTTGCCAGAGTGCCAATTATGCATACACAAATACTGTTGCTATAAATGAAGAAGAATCTGACAATAAGACTGGTGTGATCAATGGCAAAGCTTAACTATGTCATCTCCACTTCTCTTTTTCTCCACTCCCTTCACCAAGCTCAGCAGAAGAAATGGTCACCATCCTCTGAATGAGCTCAGTCCAAATGGACTAGTATTTTGTTCAGATTTTGCCTGTGATCTTTATTAAATTCTTGACCTTGACATCAAGAATTGGGGCTACAAAATGTCAGTAAAGGTATCTTTCTGATTCTACTATATATATGTGTGTGTATATATATATACATATATATATATACACACACACACACACACACACATATATACACATACATATATATATCTTTATAAATACAGAATTGACTACCAAATGTATCTATATGCTAAATTGTGAAAATACAGATGCAGAATTAACAGATATGAAATGTGCACTAATCAGGTATTCAAATTTTATGAGTTATAAAAAGAGTTTCTTTTTTTGAATATGCAATGAATTATGAAAAGGTTTTAATAATCAAAACAAGACTTTCCATTGAAGTACCTGACCAAAGGACACTTTAAAAGTAAAATGAATGCTACTTCTTACCTAGTATGAAGTCATAAAAATTCATAGAATTGTATGTGCTCACAGCGACCCTGGAGGAAAAAGTGACACAGAACTTTTTCTGGGTTTATAAACTAGGAACAAGAGAGATTTAGTAACTTGTCCCAAGGTAACATAGCTGGTTAGTGGCAAATATACGCCTATAACTCATGTCACCTGATAGATAGCCCAGTGTATGGTCCAAATAGAAAACCATTATCTTCAGGAAAATAGCATTTATTAATGAAACACCTTCTATATTCTAGGCTTTATGCTAGAAACTCTCCATATGTTATACTACCAGATAATTACTGTAACCTAAGGAGTCAAATAGTATTATTATCTCTACCTTACAGATAGAAATCTAAGGATCATTGCTCCCATGCATACCACTGGAGGGCCTGAGGACAGGCCCACCACCTGCAACACTTTTCCTGCCAGTGCCAGAGTGTGTCATAAAAGGGCTTGAGGACTGCTCTGCCCTGCCTACTGCCATTCACACCTGCACTCATCTTCTGGGGGCCTAGGCATTGATCAGCTCCACCAGCCACTGCCTGCACCTGTGGATACAATGGGGGCCTGAGGACTGGTCTACTCCACCTATTGCTGCTACCTGCCAGTACCCATGCATGTGTTCTAGGGTCCTGGGGATGGACCCACCCTGCCTGCCACCACTGCCTTCCAGGGGCCTAAGTATGGGGCCACCCAGCATGCCAGTGCCCACACACATTTTCCAGGGACCTGAGGACTGACCCACCCTATCCACCACTGCTAGCATCTGCACACATTTCTCCTGGAGGCCTAAGAAAGGGACCACCCACCTTTTACAACCACTGCCACTGGCATTCACTCATACATACCATGTGGGGATCTGGGGACTGTTTGTCCTACCATGTTGCCACCACCACTGCTTTCCACTCATGCTGCCTGGGGATCCAAGGGTTTGTCTGCTGCCACTATAGCCAGTACTGACACTATGAATGCTTTTTCAGGGGCCTGATGGCCTGCCTACTTCCCAGCTAACTGCTCCCACTGTCCTCTCCTGGGAAAGCCCCTGGAGGCCCAAGTATTGGCCTCCCTGGACCTGCTACCTCTGGTGCCCATGTATACCACCTGGGGACCCAAGGATTAGCATACTTAACCCCCTACCATCACCACTAAGGACCAGCCTGCCTGTGTCCCTGACCCCAGCAAAGTCTCAGCATAGCCTCCACTAATAAGCACAGCTAACCCACTGAGGAAATCACAAATATGATTAAAGCTAGTTACAGCTGTATAAATAACATAGAGACTACAAGACTACAAGGCTCTGCACCTAGAATCAGAGCTAAAGCACACTGCCCAACCAATACTAGAGACACATACATAAAAAAAATGTATTTTCCTACAAAACCCAAGTTATAAAATTGGAAGAAAGGACTATTATACTATATGTCCAGATATGAACATAATGATACACACACACACACACACACACACACAACAAAATTAAAAAGCAAGGAAACGTGACACCTCCAAAGGAATGTAATATTTCTCTAGCAACAGATTCAGTGAAAATAAAATATATAAAATTCCTGAAAAATAATTCAAAATCGTAGTATAAAATGAGCTCAGTGAGACACAAGAGAACACAGATAAATAATACAAAGAAATTAGAAAAATAATTTATGAACTTAGTGAAAAATCCACCAAAGAGTTAGATCATGAAAAAGAGCAAACCACAAACCCTGGAACTGAAGAATTTAATGAAAGAAAAACACAGTCAACAACTTCAACAATAGACTAGATGAATGAAGCAAAAGACAGAATTTCTGAACTTGAAGACAAGTCTTTTAAAATAACCTCAGTCAGACAAAAATAACGAGAAAAAAGAAAACAGAAAACTTGCGTAACATATTTGACACCATAAAGTAATCAAATATTCATATTTTGGATGTTCCAGAAAAAGGGATGGGCAAAGGCCTAGAAAATCTATTGAACAAAATAATAGCTAAAAACTTACCAAATCAAGGAAGATATATAGACATCCAGGTATGAGACACTCAAAGGTCCTTAAATAAATTTAACCCAAAATGGACTTTTCCAAGGTACTATACTCAAACTATCAAAATCAAAGGAAAAATTCTAAAAAACAGCAAGAGAAAAGCACCAAGTCATATATTAGGAAAACCTAATTAGAATAATGTACAATTTCCCAGCAGAAACCTTACAGAACAAGAGAGAAGGGGATTGTATTTCAAAGTACTGAAATTTAAAAAAAAAATTGCCAGTCAAAAATACTATATTTGGCATATCTGTTCTTTAAAAATGAAGGAAAAATATAGTCTGCTTATTCCATACAAGCAAAAATTGAGGGAATTCACCGCTACTAGACTGACCCTAAAAGAAATGCTTAAAAATTTCCTACATTTGGAAGCAAAAGAACAATGTCTATCATCATGAAAACACATGAAGGTATAAAACTCACTGGTAGAGCAGACACAGAAATGAGAAAGAGAAAGGATTCAAAAGTTACGACTTAAAAAAGTCACCAAATTGCAATGGTGAACAATGAGAGATGAAGACAGGAACAAAGCATGTACAAAACAACCAGAAAACAATTGACAAAATGACAAGAGTCCTCACCTATTAATCATAATCTTAAATGTAAACAGATTAAATTTCTCATTTAAAAGATATACACGGGATGCATGAATTAAAAAATAATACCCCACTATATGCTGCCTGTAGGAAGCTTACCTCACCTATAATGACACAAAGACAGGAAGTGAAGGATGGAAAAGATATTCCATGTAAACAGACACCAAAAGCAAGCAGGAGTAGCTATATTTATATAAGATAAAACAGATTTTAAGTCAAAAACTGTAAAATGAATCAAATGTCTCTTTATAATGATATATAAAGATATCTATAATGATAAATAAATCAAAGCAGCAAGAGGATATAACAATTTTAAACATATATATGGACTCAACACCAAAGCACCCAAATAAACAAAACAAATATTATCAGATGTAAAAAGAGAGATAGACTCCAATATAATAATAGTTTCAACACCTCACTCTCAGCATTGAACAGATTATCAAAACAGAAAGTCAACAAATAAATATTGGATTTAAAGTGCACTTTAGACCAATCGAACACCACAGACATTTACAGAACATTTTATTCAACAGCTTTGGAATACACATTCCTCTCATCAGTACATGAAACATTCTGCAGGATACACCATATATTAGGCCACAAAACAAATCTCAACAATTTTTTAAAAATCAGAAGTATATCGAGTATCTTCTCACACCATATGGAATAAAAGTAGAAATCAATAACAAGAGGAATTTTCAAAACTGTACAATATATGGAAATTAAACAACATGCTTCAGAATGACCACTGAGTCAATGAAAAATTAGGAAGAAAATAAAAAGAATCTTGAAACAAATGAAAATATTAACACAACACCAAAACCTATGGGATGCAGCAAAAATAGTGCTAAGAGGGAAGTTTATAGTAATAAACACTTACATCAGAAAAGTAGAAATATTTCAAGGAAAGAGCCTAATCATGCACTTTGAGGAGGTAGAAAAGCAACAACGATGACAAAATACCTTAAAATTAGTAGAATGAAAGAAATAAAGATCAGAATAGAACTAGATTAAATAGAGACTAAAATAATACAGAATAAAATAGTGACTAAATATAAAAAATGAAAGAGATGAACATTATATAATATACAAAATCAACAAATGAAATTTGAAGATAAATAAAATGAATAAGATAAATAATAAGATAAATAAAATCAATAAGCTTATAGCTAGACTAACTATGAACAGAAGAGAGACGACCCAAATAAATAAAGCTAGAAAAAAAAAAATGGAGACATTGGCCGAGCGTGGTGGCTCACACCTGTAGTCCTAACACTTTGGGAGGCCGAGGTGGGTGGATTGCCAGAGCTCAGGAGTTCGAGGCCAGCCTGGGCAACATAGTGAAAGCCCGTCTCTACTAAAATACAAAATATTAGCCGGGTGTGGCAGTGTGCGCCTGTAATTCCAGCTACTCGGGAGGCTGGGGCAGGAGAATTGCTAGAACCCGGGAGGTGAAGGTTGCAGTGAGCTGAGATTGCACCACTGCATTCCATCCTGGGCAACAGAGTGAGATTCCATCTCAAAAAAAAAAAAAAGAAAACAAAACAAAACAAAAATAGAGGCATTCCAATTTATACTACAGAAATATAAAAGATCATCAGAGACTATAATGAAAACCACATGGTAACACATTGTAAAACCTAGAGGAACTGGGTAAATTCCTGGACA
Source organism: Homo sapiens (assembly GCF_000001405.40). NCBI lineage: Eukaryota > Metazoa > Chordata > Mammalia > Primates > Hominidae > Homo > Homo sapiens. The sequence continues at coordinate 62,414,160 of NC_000016.10, read as the reverse complement.
TATAACCTATCAAAACTGATCCAGGAAAAGAGAGACTGTGATCAGATCAATAATAAGAAGATTGACTTACAAATAAAATGTCTCCTAACAAATAAAAGCCCAGAACCAGATGAGTTTATGACTGAATTCTACCAAAATGATAAAGAAGAAATAATACCATTTCCCAAACTATTTCAAAAAATTGAAGAAGAGAGAGTCCTTCTTAACTCTTTCTATGAGGTCAGCATTACCTTAGTAACAAAACCAGGTTTACCTTGATAACAAAACCAGATAAAAACAAGAAGAAAACTACAGGCCAATATTCCTGGTTAACATAGATGCAGAAATCCCCAACAAAATACTAACAAACTGAATCAAACAATGCAATGAAAAGATAATACACAGATCATGTGGGATTTATCTCAGGGGTGCAAGAATAGCTCAGCATAAGCAAGTCGATAATGTAATACATCACGTCAAGAGAATGAAGGACAAAAACGATATGACCATCTCAATGGACACAGAAAAAGCACTGGGTAAAATTCAACATCTCTTTATAACAAAAACTCTCAAAAAACTAGGCATGAAAGGAACATACCCTAACATAACAAAGGCCATATATGACAAAATCACAGCTAACCTGATACTGAATAAGGAAAATCTGAAAGCCTTTCCTTGAAAAACTGGAACAAGACAAATGTGCCCAATTTCCCCATGTTATTCAACAGTACTGAAGTACCAGCTAGAGCAACCAAGCAAAAGAAAGAAATAAAAGCCATTCAAATTGGAAAAGAGGAAGCAAAATTATCCCTCTTTGCAGACAAAGTGATCTTATATGTCAAAAAACTTAAAGACTCCATCAAAAACCTCTTAACAACTAAAACAAATTCAGTAAAGTTGCAGATACAAAATCAACATGCAAAAATCAGTAGTGTTTCTAGACACCAATGACAATCTAACTGAAAAAGGAATCAAGGAGGCAATCCTATTTACAATAGCTCCAAAATAATAATAATAACATATATAGGAATATACTTAACCAAGCAGGTGAAAGACCTCTAGAAGAAAATCTCAAAGGTACTGATGAAAGAAATTGAAGAGAACCCCTTAAAATAGAAAGACATCCCATACTCATTAAAACAATTAATTAAATTAAAACAATTAAATTAAATGAATTTTAATTTAATTAAAACAATTAATACTGTTAGAATGACCATAATATCTGACATGATTTTGTTGTGACCCCACCCAAATCTCACCTTGAGTTGTAATCCCCATAGTCCCCACATGTCAAGGGAGGGACCCAGCGGAGATGATGTGATCATGGAGGCAGTTTCCCTCATGCTGTTCTTGTGATAGTGAGTGAGTTCTCACAAGATCTCATGATTGTATAAGTGTTTGACAGTTCCTCCTTCACTCTTTCTCTCTCCTGCTGCCATGTAAGAAGGTGTCTGCTTCCCCTTCCACTATGATTATAAGTTTCCTGAGGCCTCCCCAGCTGTGAGGAACTGTGAATCAATTAAACCTCTTTTGTTTATAAGTCAGCCAGTCTCAGGTATTTCTATATAGCAGTGTGGAAACGGACTAATACACTATCCAAAGAAATCTACAGATTCAGTGACATCCCTATCAAAATACCAATGGCGTTCTTCACAGAAATAGACAAAAAAATTCTAAAATTTATATGAATCCACAGAGACCCAAAATAGCCAAAGTAATCCTGAGCAAAATGAGTAAACTTGGAGGCATCACATTACCTGACTTCAAAATATACTATAAAGCTATATAGCCAATAGAGTATTATACTGGCATAAAAACAAACACACAGACCAATGGAACAGAGTAGAGAACCCAGATGTTAATTTACATATCTACAGCTAACTGATTTTTGATAAAAGTACCAAGAACGCTCACTGTGGAAAGGACAGTCTCTTCAATAAAAGGTACTGGGAAAACTAGATATCCATAAGCAGAATAATGAAAGACCCCCAGCTCTCACCCCATACAAAACTCAACTCAATATGGATCAAAGACCCATATGTAACACACAATACTATAAACTTACTACCACAAAACACAGGGGAAATGCTTCAATATATTTGTTTAGGCAAATAATTTATGACTAAAACCTCAAAAACATAGGTAACAATAACAAAAATAGACAACTAAGGCTATATTAAACTAAAAAGCTTCTGCACAGCAAATGAAATGATTGAGAATGAGGAGATAACCTGCAGAATAAGAGGAAATATTTGTAAACTGTTCATCCAACAAGGAGCTAATAACCAGAATGTACAAGAAACTCAAACAACTCAACAGCAAAAAAAAAAAAAAAATCCCATTAAAAAGTGAATAAAGAATGTGAATAGACATTTCTCCAAAAAAGACATACAAATGGCCAACAGGTATACAAAAAAATGCGGAACATCACTAATCATAAGTGGAATGCAAATCAAAACCACAGTGAAATATCATCTTACCCCAGTTAGAATAGCTATTATCAATAAAATAAAACATATCAGATGCTGGCGAAGATGCAGAGAAAGGCAACTCTTATACATTGTTGGTGAAAATTAGTACATCAATTACGGAAAATAGTATGGAGATTCCTCAAAAATCTAAATATAGAACCACCATATGATACAACAATGCCTCTCCTGGGTACTTACTCAAAGGAATTAAACTCAGTATATCAAAGGGGTATCTGTACCCCTGTCTTTATTGCAGCACTATTTACAAAAGCCAAGATACAGAATTAACCTTAGTGTCCACCAATGGATGAATAGATAAAGAAAATGTAGCATTTATAAGCAATGGGGTACTATTCAGCCATACAAAATAATGAAATCCTGTTATTTGCAGCTACATGGAAGAAACTGGAGGTCATTATCTTAAGTAAAATAAGCCAAGTAAAGCAAGAAAAACATCACATATTCTCACTCATATGTGGAAGGTTAAAAAGTTGATTTAATGGAGGTATGGAATAACATGATAGTTACCAGAGCCTGGGAAAGGTTGGGGTGCAGGTAATGAGAAGAGGTTGGTTAGTGAGTACAATCATACAGTTAAATAGAATGAATAAGTTCAAGTGTTTAACAGCACAATGGACTGACTATAATTAATAACAATATACAGTATATTTAAAAATAGCTGTAAGAGAAGATATGAAATATTCCCAAGATAAAAAATGATAAATGCTTGAGGTGATGAATATTTTAACTACTCTGACTTGATCATTACGCATTGTATGCATGTATCGAAATATCACATGTACCATATAAACATGTATAATTTTTATATATCAATTTTTTTAAAATCTAAGCCTCAGAAAGATTAAGCAAATTGTTCAAAGTAATAAGGATGGGATATAAAAAAGGACCCTTTTTACTCCAAACTATATTCACTTAATACTCATTTATTGTGTCTCTAATATTTTCAGAAGAATAGAAAATGAAAAATAAAGTAGTTCTCTGAAGATGTTCAAAAATAACCAAACAGGACATAATTCAGAAACATGCAAATAGGCATGCATAAATACAATATTACCTTATTTTTTTTGACAGATTCTTTAAATAAACATTAATTTAAATATATTTGATAGTGACAGGAGACAGAGAAATTCCTAGGCAGACTAGGAGAGGTCCCTGGTGAAACCCGACCTTCAAACCAATGACAACTTAAAGCCTGAAAACCAAGCCATTTCCAGATAGAATCCACGACTGGAGTGAGAACTTCTATTTCTATTGGCCCACTCTTTCCCAGTTGGTTTTTTCTGAATAATGCTTTTAACCAATCCAATGTTGCCTTTTCCAAGGCTACCTATAGCCTGTGCCTTCTCATTCCAAACCTATAAAAACCCCAGACTCAGCTACACAGATGGCTACCCGCTTTTGGGCCCCCTCTCACACAGAAGGCTACCCACTTTGAGTTCTCTCTCATTGTTAAGAGCTTTTCTGTTGCTCGATAGAATTCTTCTCTGCATTGCTCACTCTCTGATGTCCACCTACCTCATTCTTCTTGGTCACGGGAGGAGAACCTGGCACCTGACAAACGGTGGGAGCATAAAACAGTTGTAATATGCTCCTCGCAGGCTCACTGAGCTGCAGGCGGTGTGAATGAAATGAACTGTGATGACCTGGCACAGTGGCTCACGCCTGTAATCCCAGCACTTTGCGAGGCCAAGGCAGGTGGATCACCTGAGGTCAGGAGTTCGAGACCAGCCTGACCAACATGGTGAAACCCCATCTCTACTAAAATCACAAAAAATTAGCCGGGCATGGTGGTGGACGCCTGTAATCCCAGCTACTCAGGAGGCTGAGGAAGGAGAATCGCTTGAACCCAGGAGGCAGAGGTTGCAGTGAGCGGAGATCGCGCCATTACACTCCAGCGTGGACAATAAGAGCAAAACTCCGCCTCAAAAAAAAAAAAAAAAAAAAAAAGAAAGAAAAAAATATATAAAAGAAAAGAGCTGTGACATGATCCCGTTCGCTGGACTACAGGAGTGAGGAGCTGCAACCCTTCTGGAGGCCCAGACCTTGGGACTCCCCACGGCAGAGCTATAACACTCCCCCATTAGCCAAGCCACAGGCTGCGGGAGCAAATGAGCTATAACATGCCCCCGTTTGCTGAGCTGCAAGCAGGAGGAATTAAAGAAAGAACGGGCCGGGCGCTGTGGCTCAAGTCTGTAATTCCAGCACTTTGGGAAGCTGAGGCGGGCGGATCACGAGGTCAGCAGTTTGAGGCCAACATGGCGAAACCCCGTCTCTATTGAAAATACAAAAATTAGCGGGGCGTGGTGGCAGGTGCCTGTAATCCCAGCTACTCAGGAGTCTGAGGCAGGAGAATTGCTTGAACCTGGGAGGCGGAGTTGCAGTGATCCAAGATTTTGCCACTGCACTCCAGCCTGGGCGACAGAGTGAGACTTTGTCTCAAAAAATAAATAAATAAATAAATAAATAAATAAATAAATAAATAAATAAATAAAGAGAGAGAGAACGGTGGCATTCCCTGGTGGCTCAGACCTCGCGACTCTCCGAGCAGATGCTCTAACAGCTTCTTGGGCCTCCACGGTTGCTGGAGTCTCCAAGCTTTTGGGTGCTGTTGCGTCCCCCTCATTCAGACGCCAATGTCCGAGGAAGAAGCCAGTCGCAGCACGCCTGGACCAACCGTGGGCCGAGCGCAGAGCCAAGGCGGACACCGTATCTGGCTGGGCCGGTAGTGCGAGCTGAGCGCAGCCTGCTGGACTGAGTGGGCGAAGCAAGCCCATGGGTTCGAGCAAAGCCTGGGTAGAGGCGCTACTGGCTACGAAGTTTTCCGGCTGGCAAAGTGGCACCGAAAGAATTCTGTACCATATTCAGCTAGAAATTTTCTTCATTCTACCACTAGCATACTAGCATGCTGCTTCATTCCCCTGAGCCTCAGTTCTCTCAGTACTAAGATAGGATACTGGGCTAGGTAGGCAACTTTTGCACTGAGATATACAGAGATTTAGCATCCCTGTAAGGTGCTCCAGCAGTCAATGTATGGAAAAGGGATGGCCTAGTAATTTTGGTTCTTAATCCATCTCTTTAGATTTGAGCACACCATTTGCTTTATATAGTGAAATTCAGCATAATAAATTATTTACAAAATTTTGTTATTACAAAAACAGTTTGAAAGCCACTTGAATAGACATTATAAGCATAAATTCAGCTTGAATATATTATATTTTGATTGTATTAGACACACAATAAAAAGATTTTATTTTACTTTCCCAAAGTCTGAATTGGTGAGGAACAAAAATAGAAGCTACAGCAAATTGTTGGCAGCCATTTTTTTTTTTTTTTTTTTTTTTTTTTTTTTTTTTTGCCACCCAAATATCTTAAGAACTGAAACATGAGACATCTGTACTTCCTACGGCATAAATACACCTGGAAGTTTCTTCCCTATTCTTCCTGGATACTCTCTATATCCATTTTTCTATATTGAGCAAAGCAAAAAGCCAGAACCTTAAGACCTGATGCTGGTGGTATCTTCCCAAGGAATAGTTGTTATCTTCAGTCTCTTTTGAGCATGATGTCAGGTTACTCAAGGTCCTCCATCATTTTGGTCATATGTAAATTTTCTGTGTCATTATTCAAGCCATACTACATGTCTGCCATACCAAATACCTGTAATCCTTATAACTAGAGACACACTTCTTTGATCAGTTTCTGTGTTCTTAGTGATACACAATTTTTTATTTATCTACAAGAAACTACCTCTTTTTTTATGACAACATTAGCTTTCATATGTTTGTTTCAGCACATTCACAATCTGCCTTGGATTATAAAATATTAGTATAAAAACTTCTTCGGAATCAGTTAGTCATGGTGTGTTAAATCATGATTCCATCCTTTACTAGCTGTGAACATCTATGCAAGTCACTTAATCTCTCAGAGCTGAAGTTTCCTCATTTGTAAGATGAGAAAAGTATAAATTTTTGCATGTGTCATCATAGAAATTAAATAAAATAATGCATATAACAAGCTGTACAATGCCTGACCCGTAGTGGACCAATAGAATCTTGTAATGCTAGCTGGTTTCCTCAAGAACAAATCATACTCAAACAAAAAAATATATCTTATTGATAGTAAAAGCAAATTATAGCCAATAAAATATCAAAAACTATTTGTTGGTGGGTACTTCATTAATTAAACTAGAAAAGCAACAGAGCACTCTCTACTGGGAGACAATTTTCCACAGGTCTCTTGTGTTTCTCAGTATCTTGTGAGTATAGTCGTGGAATGACCTTTGGTTCCAGAGTATCTTTTCAAGGATTCTATATAGCAAAACACCTTGGAAAATACTGATAGTGTCACCAGAGCAGGTTTGTTTACTATCTAGTGCAAGAGATAATGTCTTTTTCCAGACCAATGTTTGGGAAGGCTTCCTTACAGTTTATTATATGTTTAAAAAATTGTATTCACCAATCTTGAGGCTTTTTCTCTGTGATGAAAATCCACTCTATGCACAGCTTCAACTGGACCTCTCAGGGTTGCCTCCATGAAACTTGTAGGAGAAGGAGAACTGATGCAAAAATGATACTCATGCTAATTACTGTGCCATTAGTAATAAAGCCCTGTGTCTCTGATCCAGGGGTCTCATGTCTTCTGCTGGCATCCATTAAACTGTGGTATGTTAAATTGTTAGTGGGTTAGTAAGGTAAAAATCTCAGAACCTTCACTGTTTTTGTGACACCTTGATCTGATTATGTTATTAAAAGTGATTTAGAGAAAACAACCTAAATGTCCATCAGCAAAATGTGGTACATCCACGCAGTGGGATGTTATGCAGCCATAAAAAGAAATGAAACACTGCTGTATGCTATAAGAAGGATGAACCTTGAAAACCTTATGCTAAATGAAAGAATCCAGAAATATATTGTAAGATTCCATTTATATTAAATATCCCAAATAAGCAAATCCATAGAGACTGAAAGTGGGTGAGTGGTGGTCAGTGTATGGGAAGAGGGAGGAATTGAGACTGACTGCTAATAGGTATTGTGGCTCCTTTTTGGACTGATGGAAATATTCTGGAATTAGAAAGTGGTGATGATTGCACAACATTGTGAATATGTAAAAGAGAGAGAGACAGAGAGACAGAGACAGAGACTCTTTTGTGTTTCTGAAAAAGCATGGATTAGGGGCCAGCAGACAAGGCTTTGAATCTTGGATATTTCTTTTACCATTATTGCCAACTCCATAATCTCTCTATGCCTCATTCTTCATGTTCACAAGTGATCAGCTAATACCAACTCACAGATTCATTGTGTGTATGAAACCTGAGAATGCCTTAGTGGCTGATTCAGAATTGATGTCTGTTAATTACTGACTATAAAGGTGAAAATGGCAACAATTTCTTCAGAAAATAAATTAACTAAAAGAAAAAGAAGTGGCTACACTTCTAATGTATGCCACCATGTGCTTATAAATGCATATCCAGAGTTACAGTGAGTCTACTGTGGATTTGTAGAAATATTTATCTTACCAACATTTAAATAAATACACTTAAAAAATAGTGTTGTTTATGTTTCTGCTAGTAATTGGAAGTATCCTTTCTCATGCACAGTTCTATAGTAAGGATAATAATACACTGTCAACAGAATTTATATGCAAATAACTCCTTAGTGTGCTTTAGTTGGAAGATGTTGGATAATTAAATCATCCTGAGAATACATTTCTAATAGCTTCTCTGTTTCTGGACCTTGCTCATTTTAAGAAGTGGTGTATCATTTTGTAATCAAGGTGGCAATGTCAGAAAGCCTTGTTTTATTAAAAAAAATCATTGTATTTTCTTAAAATGGTGAAATTCTTTCATTGATATGACTGAGATAGGCTGACGGAATGTATTTCATGATGGTGAAATATAATTGGATGGAAACAACAGCCATCCGTAGAGTAGTTGGGTATTAGACTGTGGTACATTTTAATAAATAAAGCCAACTTTACCATATTCATTCTAAATGATGCACATTTTTACATAGTTGTGAAAATCCTACATCGACTTTAGTCAATCAGTGCTTTAAAAATATTTAGATATTATTTGAGAGTATCAGAAATAATAGTTATTCCTCATGGCATTTGAAATAGAGCCATCAGAGTGCACTCCTCATCTACTAGATAACAATAGGGAGAAGAGTGAGGCAGGGTGACTGAGACAAAGAAATAAGGACCTGGCAAGTCTGGTTAGCAAAGGGTAAGATAAAGGGCATCAATGGACTTTGAATGATGCAGAGGCCAAGACAGATCAGCATGAGAAAGGGAGGTGGTGGGAAAAGAATCAACATTTTAAAGGGTAGAGACTGTGTTTCTATTTTCCTCTAGCTTTTCTCATTCAAATCTCATTTTTCAAGATCTTCCTTTCTATTCATCTTCTGTCCTCTATTCAGTGTTTTTCCCTCTTGATGTCTCCCAGGCTACCACCTGCTGTCCTTGTTTCTCTACATATCATTTTTCACCATCCAGTCTTTTATTTCTTTTCCAGTTATTGCCTCAAGCCAATTTCCCAAATTGGATCTAGGGGCCTAGTTTCTCAACATCTCACTTGGGAGTGTCCAGGCAGGGGCCCAAGCTGGAGGCAGCCAGGAGTGAGGGGCGTGGGCAGGAACTGTATACCTGCTTCAGTTCAATGCTTCTTGGATGCAAGTAGCCCCAGGGGCTGCAGGGAGGGTCCTTGGAGAGAGTTTCACTGTGCCAGTTTTAAATGCTGCCTAGGCCCTGGTGTTTTGGTCCCTCATACAATGACTGCAGACCCTGACACAGTTCCAAATATACTGAGTTGAATGAATACAATGTCAAAGGAAGAAGCAGCTGCTTTAGAAAAGGCATCGTGGCCTTGATGCCTGTCTCCAACTGTGTGTAAACACTTACCTTCCTAGGTGATATTCCAAAACTCAGTCCATATTGTAAACGTCTGAGGTACAAGAATATATTTTTTAAGGCCCTTTAAGGTATTATTTAAATTTTTAGTAGAGTTTCATTTATTTTTAATAATTATTTTTATATTGCAAGTAGAAATGATTTTGCAATTATGGTAGAGTATTAGTGTCTAATGCTGTCAGAACAAAATATCACAGACTGGATGGTTTAAACAATAGAAATGTATTTTCTTTAAATACATTTAGAGGCACCCTCTGTATGTGCCTGCATCTAAGTTTTCTCTTATAAGTACACCAGTCATATTGGATTAGGGGCCACCTTAATGTCTTCATTTTAACTTGATTATTTCAATGAAGACCCTATCTCCAGACAGTCATATTCTGAGGAAATGGGTGTTAGGATTTCAACATCTGATATGTATATAGAAAATGTCAGACAGGTAATGTGCCAACATTGTAATAACGTTAGTGAGAGGCATGTCTCACATATGAGTGTTGAAACACAATCATCATGTTTATGTACAATAGGAAGATTACGTATTAATTTTTTGAGGGGGACACAATTCATTCCATAACAGGTAGTAGTATAAAATTTCATTTAAAAACACTTAAATAAACATTTTAGCTAAAAATTATTAAATAAACATTTTAGCTAAAAATTATTAAGTAAATAATAAGTATTTGTAAAGCACTAAATAAGGATGAACTCTCCTCTAATATTTCAAAAATTATGTCACGAATGCAGTAGAATATAACTAATGAAAGTTTGGAACATGCAGATTCAGTGAAATTTCACCTTTGAAGTCAATTTAGCGTCTAAAATAGTACGTGACACTCAATAGTTGTTAAATAAATAAAGAAATCTCTTAGGGTGGGGTGAGAAGAAAATAGTGAGAAGAATGGTGAAATTAGAAAGAAGTGTTCCTAAGCAACCAGATAGAAAAAGTCAACTGCAACCAACATCCCCCAACTCACGATGTGGAGGAAATATATCATGTGCTCATTTGCTGTAAATCCCCTTTACCAATATAGATGTTAGCAAAAAATGTATTTTAAAAAGATGTGTTTCTTGTCTTTGAAAGCTTTCCAATCTAGTAGAAGAGAAATAGGCTCAAGTAGAGGTCTATACAGGCTACTTAAATATTTATCTATTAAAATGTAAGATCTTCCCCTCCCAGAGACAGAGCCATTTCGTGTGATTATTGTCTGTTTTAAACATATGATCAAAGATTTCCCTGCCTTGGTGAACTGCCTCTTACTTCCCTTTGTCTCTTATGCTTCTTCCTCATGTAACTAGAGATTCCACCTCACATCTTCATTCTTATCCTGCCACTAAGCTTGGGCTCCATAAAAACATATTTCTTATTGCTTCTTTGTAATTTATGCTCAACTAATATTCTCTCTCATATATGTCATATATATGATAGGATATATCATGTATATGATTCACTTCTCAGTTTAACTGTTTCTCAAATTTTATCAGTATCTGTAAGTTTAGACAAATTTGGAATCTCTCACTTTCTATTTCCAAATAATCTAAATAATCAGCAATTCAATGGAGAGAGTTTAATAATGCAGTATATAACTAAATAAATATATTATAAAGAAAATAAGAGCTACAGCTCATGGACCTAATCTACTAGTTGCTCATGTGGAAACAATGGAATTTAATAGCTAACAAGACAAATGAATTGGGTTTCCAGCATAAAATACTTATTTTTAAAGAAAAATGTACAATTACAACAAGAAAAGTGGTGACACAAACTAGGTATGTCACATTTTTAGTATTTTCTGACCCAAATTATATAGCATCCTGTTCAACTAGTCATATTTTCTATGATGTTAAACAAGAATTCTTACATTTTGCTAGTACAAGCCTAAAGTAGAATCAATCTTTTGAATAGCATCTATGTAACATATATTAAATATTACATACATTACATATATTATATTTATATAATATATATTAAAATTCATATTGCAATGAAATCTACTCAATGATCAATCTGGCAGTCAGTAAGAAAAAAATTATTGATGCACACAATAACATTGATGATTTTCAAATGCATTTTGCTAAGTGAAAGAAGGCAGACTAAAAGACAAACTTTATTGTATGATTTCATTTATATGACTTTCTTGTAAGGACTAATCTGTATGGACAACAAAAAATTTTATGTTTGCATGGGCTAAACATGAAAGGAGGGGTTGATTTAAAAAGGAGCACGGAGGATTATTTGAAATGATGGAAGTATTCTCTATTTTTATTGGGATGATTTTTACACCACTGAAAGAGTTTGTCGAAACTCATAGAACAGTAAGCCAAAAAGAGTGACTTTTACTGTGGTAATTATACCCCAACTAACCTGACAATACCGTTTAAGAACAAAAAAAAGGCTGACAAATTAGGAATAAAAACAAGCACTCCATATGTCAAAACATAAAAGGGGATTTCATAAAAAAAAAATTAAAAGAAGAAATAAAAGTTATTCAACCTCATTAGTCGTCAAATAAACTCAAAATTTTAAATGATAATTTGATTTAGTTTACCATAAAATCTGGTTTATGCCCTGGAAAATATATTTTTATACATTTATAATAAGCATAAAATTGGTTAAGATGTTTACATAAAGCAATACAGCAATACGCATCAAAATCCTAAATTATATATGTGTTTAGATCCAGCATATCCACTAGGGGAAAAGAAGCTTTAAATGTTTCAACATGTATTAATAAAGATATTAATTCTAAAAGGAGTAATAGGAAACACATCGAAAGTCAAAAAAAAAAGGAAATGGACAAAAGTAATTAAATACCTTTATAAAGTAGAAGAGAATATGGACATCAAAATGAGAGTGTAGATATAAATGTTTTATTGACATAGAATTTTCAGGATATATTGTGGGTAACATCTCAATAAACAAATACATAATTTGTACCTGCGTTAGGCTAATCTTACATTGCTATAAAGAAATACCTGAGACTGGGGAATTAATAAGGAAAAGAGATTTAATTCACTCACAGTTATTCAGGCTGTACGGGAAGCATGATGTTAGTGTTTGATTAGCTTTTATGGTGAAGGTTTCAGGGAACTCTTATTCATAGAAGAAGGTGACAGGGAGCCAGCACATCACATAGCCAGAGAGAGAGACAGAGAGAAAGAGTAGGGGGATGTCACAGACTTTTAAACAACCAGACCTCATGTGAACTAAGTGGACAAGAACTCATTTATCACCAAGGGGATGATACCAAACCATCCACGAGGGATTCGCTCCATGATCCAATCACCTCCCACCCGGCTCCACCTTCAACATTGGGAATCATATTTCAACATAAGATTTGGAGGAGAAAAACATCCAAACCATATTGGTACTACCTTACAATCATTTTTCAGGCATATATTTTAAGTGTATGTAAAGATCTACCTATCTATCTATCTATCTTGATATAAATACAGATATATAACAATGATTTGTCCTTATTTATACCACCATCTATATCTTCCTAGATACTTCCTATATATACATCCTAAAAAAAGTTCAAATAGTACACATCATGTTATTTTCTTAATTTGACTTGCAATGAATTTCTGAGTAATTTCTTATAATTTTATTCTCTACGTAGAGTATAAAATTAGATCATGATGTTGAGGCTCAGTAAATAATACCCCACAGTATGGTTTGTTGGCATGTTAAACACTTTGAATGAAAAAAAAAAAAAAAAGGAAAGACTTTAGAAGCTGCCTCGAAACTAAATACTCTCTGATTTTCTCTTGTCTCACTACCCCCAGTTCTCTTTGGAATTTCCTTGACTGATTGAGGGAACTTCTTTCCAAAAGAAATACAAGAGCTCCTGCCTAGGAATCTCATCAAATAAACCGGAAAGATTTAGCACCTGAGGAAAGATGAAAAGTTGTGACCATTCCCAGACAGACTTTTGATTTATTCTCGAGTGCAGCTATGAGAGATTATCGTAAGAGACTTTATCTGCATAATAAGACAGCCTTTGTTTGCAGTACAGTTCTGCCCCTCACCATCCCACTGCTTGTTCCATTCAGCCTCCACAGAGAATCATTTAAAAATTATTGTCTGGTCTTTGACCTCATTCAATTTCTCTGAAAATCATATACTATTCCTCAAAATTGCCTATGTCCCTCATTTTTTCTTTCCCTCATAAATAGTGCATTTAAGCCTAAACTATCTTGAGTGGGTTTTTCTTTCTTTCTTTTTTTTTTTAGTATCATTGTTCCAAGACTCCTGTGTCTATGTGCACGTTAATAAGTGTGTATGGCTTTTCTGCTAATTTGTCTATTGTTAATAGACTTCAGCAGACATTCAGAGGGCAGAAGTGAGGCTTAGCACTTGCACATACACTAACATAGAATCATAACTATGTAAATAAAGTAAACAAAATATATCCAAAGGAGACCAGAATAAAATTCTCCAATTTTTTTTTTCTAATTTACAGAATAAAAAAAATTGGTCACATATCTCATTGTTGAAGTGTAATATGTCAACACATGCACACACACACACACACACACACACACACACACACACACACCAGCATGATCTTTAGGGAAATAAAAATAATATGGTGAGTATATCTTTGCTAGATTTTTTTATTTTATTATACATTTTGTGCATGTTTAATGCAGGCCACTGAATTTCAGAATCAAATCCTAAATAGCATGATTTAATACCCTGTGACCTCAGATAAGCTATAGATCATGCTTATTATTTAGAAATTCTATTCGTCTACTCACTACTCATTAGGGACACTTTTGTGGTCACTCATAGACATGCATAGAGTGATAAAAAAAATTGTGTTGCCTGATGTACATATTCACAGCTGAGATTGAACAAGGAGATGCTCTGCCTTATTGTTTCCACTATCAGAGTGTAAACAAGTGTTTTTTTTCATGGTCCATTTAGTGCCACAGTTTTCAAATTTTGTGCTTTTTTTTTTTGGCAATTTACCTGTTTAAAATGTCCCCCAAGAATAGTGCTAAAACACTGTCTAGTATGCATACATGCAAGCTAAGATGGGTCTTACAGAGAAAATATGTGTGTTAGATAATTTTTTTTTTTTTTTTTTCGGAGACAGAGTCTCACTCTGTTGCCCAAGCTGGAGTGCTGTGGTGTGATCTCGGCTTACTGCAACCTCTGTCTCCCTGGTTCAAATGATTCTCATGCTTCAGCCTCCTGAGTAGCTGGGATGACAGGCACACGCCACGATGCCTAGCTAATTTTTTGTATTTTTAGTAGAGACGGGGTTTCAGCATGTTGACCAGGCTGGTCTTGATCTCCTGATCTCAAGTGATCTGCCAACCTAAGCCTCCCAAAGTGCTGGGATTACAGACGTGAGCCACCATGCCTAGACAGGAATTGTTTTATTTACTCAACTCATAGGTATTAAGTGTTCAATACCATTCTATTAATAGACCATGACACAAGGACAAGGTATCACCCCTGTCTTTGACATTATTGTTAAAAGAAACAAAACAAATAAGACAGATAATTATAGTGGTATGAATGAAACTAACAGTGCTAGTGATAAAAAAAAAAATGTAAAGAGTAGCCAGGCATGGTGGCCCTTGCCTATAATCCCAGCACTTTGGGAGGTTAAGGCAGGAGGACTACTTGAGACCAGGAGTTCAAGATGAGCCTGGGCAATATAGCAAGACTTTACCTTTACAAAAAAAAAAAAAAAATAGTCAGACACAGTGGCACATGTTTGTATTTCCAGCTACTCAGGAGGCTGAGGTGGGAGACTCGCTTGAGCCCAGGAGTTAGAGGCTGCAGTGAGTTATGATTGTACCACTGCACTGCAGCCTAGGTAACAGGGGAACACATTGTCCCCACTCAAAAAAAAAATATATATATATATATATGTATGTATGTATATAGAGAGAAAGCCACATGAATAATAATACAGTAACACAAAGGGGACATCATAAATATCTTGCATAGATAGAACCAGTCAATTTTGAGGATCTATCTTTCTCAAGATCTGCGTTAGATTCTATACTTTATTGAAATTTGATCCCCAGTGTTGGAGGTGGGACCTTGCGGGAGATGTTTGAGTCATGAATGGTTTGACACTGTATTTCCAGTAATGGGTGAGTTCTCACTTATTGGTTCTCGTGTGGGCTGATTGTTTAAAAGAGCCTAGCACCTCCTTCTTCTGTCTCATTCTTCTGTCCTCTCACCATGTGATGCCTTTCTCTTTCCACCATAAGTGGGAGCTTTCTGAGGCCCTCACCAGAAGCACATGCTGATGCCATGCTTCTTGTAAAGTCTACAAAATCTGGAGCCAAATAAACCTCTTTTCTTTATAAATTGCCCAGTCTCGGGTTCTCCTTTATAGCCACATAAATGGAGTAAGACAGTAGCCCGAAGGTCTATGAAATGACAAGGTTTGATATGTTCTAGGCTGAGAAAGGAGAACATCAAGCAGAAATCAAATAAGAAAAGGGAGGAGAAGCACATAACAATGTCCAAGATCAGGAGAAAATAGACCATGCAGGTCCTTGTTGTTCTGGAATATATTCTGGCTAAATCTCTTTATGCAACTCATGAAGAAGAGAATAGAAAAAAAGCACTTCATGAAATCAGAAAAACATTTGCCTTAGCAAAGACACCCTAGGGAAACATTTGTTCCCTTTCTACATGGTGTCAGAATTGTTGGGGAAAATACTCTTGAGAGATTCAAATCTAGTCTTCCATATGGGAAAAAGCTTCATAAAAATAAATTGCTATTTGTTTTAAGAGACCTCATCCCCAGATTTCTCTCCATATCTCTGAAGGGCAATATGTAATACGTCTTGCAGGCATTGCTATGGTAAATACACATTTTTTACTTAATACAATAGTAAATTGATGCTTCTATTATCAGCAAGTGTTATGTTACTGGGGTAAGGGAGTACTGGTGTTTTTAAAATTATTAACTTGGTTCTTACAGAGTCGAATATTACTGCCCCAGCCTTCTGAGTTTTTTTAATCTTTTCAATTGCATCTATTATTTTTTCAGGTGGGCTCCTTTCTATTTTGACATGGAAAGTTCTTAAGGTAAGATCTTTGTAACTCAAATTAATAATTTTGAGACTAATCAGGGTTCGATGGTTAGATGAGATTTCATTAGAAAAAATTTACTAAATCTAGAGAGAAAATTTTGTTTTGTTTTGTTTTGTTCTCAGTAATAAGCACCTTCCAACCGGAAAATATAGGTTAAAATTTTTAGTACTGTCTCATTATTCATATTTTGGAAAGAAAGTCTGAGAAAAATACCCACAAAAATTAGAAGGTCAGATATTCCCCACCTGGTTGGGTTAACCAATGTTTAGCTACTCAGTTTTATGCTTAATAATCTGTAAGTGACTTTCAAGTCAGTGTTATATACAGAAAAGAGTCTATATTCACATGGCTTTTATGCACTCTGGGTGATACAAGCATCAGTTGGTTTCAACCTTATTTGAAATTGACCCCCCTCCCTCCCTGCTTCCTTCCCTCCCTGCTTCCTTCCCTCTCTCCCTCCCTGTCTCCCTTCCTTCCTTCCATCCTGCCTTCTTTCCTTTCTTCTTTCTTTCTTTCCTTTTCTTCTTCTTTCTTTCCTTCCTTCTTTCCTTCTTTTCTTCTTTCCTTCCTTCCTCCCTCTCTCCCTCCCTGCTTCCTTCCTTCCTTCCTTCCTCCCTCCCTCCTTCCTTCCTTTTCTTCCTTCTTCTTTTCCTCCTTGCCAGTTTCTGAGAGCCCTCTCTCTGTTTCTCTGTAATAGTAGAAACATGTAGATTTAGTTAAAAGAGTAAAAACGAACACAGAATAAATTTGCTTTTACATATGTGTGTGTTCATAAGTCATATCTCTTTTATAATACACACACAGGCACACATAGACACACATACAAATGGATGGACTTGGAAGATATTATGCTATGTGAAATAAGCTACAAGAAGAAAGACAAATACTGCTTGATCTCACTTATATGTGGAATCTAAAAAAGTTGAACTCATAGAACTGGAGAGTAGAATGAGGGTTACCAGAGGCTGGAGTGGGAAGATAAAGAGAGAGGGAATGAGGAGTGGTTGAAAGTTTCAGAGAGATGGGAGTAATCAGTTTTGAGATCTATTGCACATCAGCATGCCTGTACTCAATAATAATGTATGCTACATTTCAAAATGAGTAAATTTCAAATGTCTTACCATAAAAATATCATAGGTGAGTGAGGTGATGGCTATGTTAATTATGTTAATTAATGCTTTAATCATCCTACATTATATATGCATATCAAAACATCACAGTGTAAGCCATAACTGTACACAATTATGTTTTGTCAATTAAAAATAATATTAATATTTTTAAAAGCTATGAGTTTTGTAGGAGGAGGATCAGGTTACAGAATTGAGCAACTTCATGATCAGAGAAGGTTTTACTAATTATGCCATTCTAGATGATCTTTTAGTAAAACTGAAGACTAGGCACTCCAGGTAGCAGGAAGCATATGGGTATGGTGTGGTGGTCAAGTTCAAAGGCTTTGGAGAGACAGGACTCAGGAGTCCCAGTTCTGCCACTATATGACAAAACTTATATCATTTCTCTATGTTTTCTCATCTGAAAATAAAAATAAAAGATAGATACAAACATATATTGCAAAGTTATGAGAATTCTATTACCTGATTAACACCTATTTACCCTGAGCACTCAGCATAAACATCATTTATTTAAATAAATCTTCTTCGACCAAGCAAATCTAGGTTACAGTGCTCTGTTTTGTGTTATCTATAAACCTTTTTGTCATAAAACTTTGCATGCTATCAATTATGCATTCATTGTCTTCTTTCCTAATTAAACAGTGAAGCACTATCAAGGAAGGTCCATACCTGTCTTCACATAGGATGCTGGGCCCTAGCATAGTGCCTGGCACTTGAATCATTTGTTGCAGACTGGTTATTTTCAGAGACCATTTGGTAGGCATGCCACATTGTCAGAAGAGGATGATAACTCCCTTTCAGGGAATGCTGGCCTGAAGTCTGGGATAAATCAGTCCAAAACATGAATATGACTTTTTCAGTGGAAGAGCAATAAAACATCTTCTTATGGAAATTTCTAAGTGACACCAAATGGTTGCAAAAGAAAGTCGAGTATGGGATTGTGCAGAAACTGTGAAGAAAGGTCCTCAACTACCTTCTTAAACAGCTTTGAGAGTTTAAAAGTAACAAATCAAAGAGTAGCACTACTGGAAGAAAAACTTGTGTCCCTGTAAAAATAAATACATTGCAAATAACACTGACTATGCAATGGATTACAGCCCATGAAGAACATATCAAACACACCTCAAACTAGTAATTAAAAGAAAAGAAAATGTAATATGCTTCTTTTTCAGATGTACAGCAGGGAGACAGTCTATCTGTGTAAATATATCAGAGATTGAAGCTAGCTGACATTTTTCTGTTGAAGGCAGTTAATAACTATTTCCTTGCAATAGGAAATCATGGCAAGATTAGCTTTAGAAATGTTTTAAGGAATTTAGAAATTGGTTTATGATGAGATATTACAGCAATTAAATATGTGCTATAAAAAAACAACCAAGGTGGCTGGGCACGGTGGCTCACACCTGTAATCCCAGCACTCTGGGAGGCCGAGACAGGTGATCGTCTGAGTTCAGGAGTTTGAGACCAGCCTGGCCAATATGATGAAACCATGTCTCTACTAAAAATACAAAATATTAGCTCGGCATGGTGGCACATGCCTGTAATCCCAACTACTTGGGAGGCCGAGGCAGGAGAATTGCTTGAACCCAGGAGGCGGAGGTTGCAGTGAGCCAAGATCGTGCCATTGCATTCCAGCTTGGGTGACAGAGTGAGACTCTGTCTCAAAAAAAAAAAAAAAGGACAACTAAGGTGTGTAACTGTCCAGTGTCTGAAGTCACAAATACTAAGAAACAGGATTATTTTTTGAGGTGGTAAAACATGTGATGAAGATTAATGGGATAAAATTGAGAGATTAGAGAGATACTATTGCCTGAGAACATATTCCAGCAGCTGCCTTCCTGGGTGTATTAGTTTTCTGTGTCAAAGTATAACAAACTGGGTGGCATAAAACAATGAAAATTTATTATCTCACAGTTCTGAAGTCTAGAAGTTCAGAAGCAAGGTGTGACTAGGGCCATGCTCTCTAGGGTCAGACTGTAGGGAAAAGTCTGTTCCATGCTTTTCTCTTAGCTTCTGCTATCACCAGCAATCTTTGGCATTCCTTAGCATGTGGTGGCATAACTGCAATCTTTTTTATTTTTTATTTTTAAGACAAGGTCTTGTTCTTTCACTCAGGCAGGAGTGCAGTGGCACAATTATAACCTCACAATTGCAACCTCAACTTCCTGGGCTCAAGCCATTCTCTGGCCTCAGCCTCCTGAGTAGCTGGGACTACAGTCACACACCACCATGTCTGGGTAATTTTTTTTTTTTTTTTAAGAGATGGGGTTTTGCTATGTTGCTCAGGCTGATCTCAAACTTTTGAACTCAAGCTGTCCTCCCCACCTCAACCTCCCAAAATGCTAGGATTATAGATGTGAACCACCATGCTTGGCTAAAACTCCACTCTTTGCCTCCATTGTCACAGACATTCTCCCTCTGTATGTCTTCACATTGTCTTATTATAAAGACACAGATCGTATGGATTAAGTGCCCTTCTTAGTTCAATATGCCCTCATCATAACAATTATATCTGTTAACAAACCTATTTCCTAAAAAAGGTCACATTCTGAGGTACTGAGTGTTAGGACTTCAACATATTTTTTTGGGGCTGGGGACACAATTCAACTCATAACATAAGGAATTGAAGGAGAGAGGAAGAGAATCAATATTTATTGAATACCTTCCAAGGTCATGGTGTATATATGCCACAATTTTCTTTATCCAGTCTATCATTGATGGGCATTTGGGTTGGTTCCAACTCTTTGCTATTGTAAATAGTGTGGCAATAAACATACTTGTGCATGTGTCTTTACAGAAGAAATCGTTTATAATCCTTTGGGTATATACCTAGTAACGGGATTGCTGGATCAAATGGTATTTCTGGTTCTAGATCCTTGAGGAATTGCCACATTGTCTTCCACAATGGTTGAACTAACTTACACTCCCACCAACAGTGTAAAAGTGTTCCTATGTCTCCACAATCTCACCAGCATCTATTGTTTCCTGACTTTTAATAATCGCCATTCTGACTGGTGTGAGATGGTATCTCATTGTGGTTCTGATTTGCGTTTCTCTAATGATCAGTGCTGATGAGCTTTTTTTCAAATGTTTGTTGGCCACATAAATGTCTTCTTTTGAGAAGTGTCTGTTCATATCCTTTGCCCACTTTTTGATGGGGTTTTTTCTTGTGAATTTGTTTAAGTTCCTTCTAGATTCTGGATATTAGACCTTTGTCAGACGGATAGATTGCAAAAATTTTCTCCCATTTGGTAGGTTGCCTGTTCACTCTCATGCTAGTTTCTTTTGCTGTGCAGAAGCTCTTTAGTTTAATTAGTAAAACCCCAAACCATAAAAACCCCAGAAGAAAACCTAGGCAAAGCCATTCAGGACATAGGCATGGACAAAGACTTCATGACTAAAACACCAAAAGTAATTGCAACAAAGGCTTTATAATACATTCAGCACGAAGAAGAGTCTGGGGGCCATGGGACACTCCTGCCCTCTCCATGCTTCCTAAGTAACAATTGCAGACTATTTAAGCAAAGCTGGGTGTTGTCAGGCAAAGCCCTTCCCTGCTGCCAGGGGTGGGAGCAAGGAGGAAGTGCTGTCGGGTTTCCCCCTGGGGCAGGCACCAGCCCCGCCTCACCTCCATGCCATGGGAGGCAAGACAGAGGCCACTGGCACAGGGTGGTGGCCCCCAGACCATACAGCAGTGGGCGTGGGAGGAGCAAATCTGAATGAGGACGGCCTGAGCTGGCCCTGCTGCACAGGGCAGGTGTGAGGCCTCCCACCCGCGTCTTTGGCAGAGAGCACAAATAACAGTGGCTTCCACAGCCTGATCCCAGCTTGGAGGAAGCTCAGGCACTTGTCAGTAGCACATGGGTGCCTGCCTGCTTCTAGCCACTCCAGGCGGGGCTGGGGTTATTAAAAGCAAGGAGAATCACCAGCTAAAATCCTTTTCCTAAAAGCGCCCTGGAAGAATGAATGGCTGACTGAAGCCTTCTGGGTGCAGGCCCTTTGGGTGTGGTCTTTAAGAAGTGGAAGAATTGAAATTCAAACCTTGACTTGGTTCTTGGCACTTTCTCATGCTCTCTATGGCGGAGTGGTTTTCTCGAATCTCATGGTATACTGTGCACTTTTTCCCATTAATTCTTATTTATAAGTTAATAAGAAAATGTTTTTTATTTTTACTAGCCATTTAAAAACATACCTGAAATTGTCTTGGCGTGGTGGCTCATGCCTGTAATCCCAGCACTTTGGGATGCCGAGGCAGGCGGATCACCTGAGGTCAAGAGTTCGAGATCAGCCTGGCCAACATGATGAAAACCCGTTTCTATTAAAAATACAAAAAATTAGCCAGGTGAGGGGGCCGGCTCAGGCCATCCTCATTCAGATTTGCTCCTCCCATGCCCACTGCTGTATGGTCTAGGGGCCACCACCCTGTGCCAGTGGCCTCTGGCCTGCCTCCCATGGCATGCAGGCAAGGCTGGGCTGGTGCCCCCCCCAGGGGGTGACCCGACAGCACTTCCTCCTTGCTCCCACCCCTGGCAGCACGGAAGGGCTTTGCCTAATAACACCCGGCTTTACCTAAATATTCTGCAATTGTTACTTAGGAAGCATGGAGAGGGCAGGAGTGTCCCATGGCCCCCACACTCTTGTTTCTGCTGAATGTATTATAAATGTATTAGTCCCAGCAACTTGGGAGGCTGAGGCAGGAGAATCACTTGAACCCTGGAGATGGAGGTTGCAGTGAGCCGAGATCATGCCATTGCACTCCAGCCTGGACGACAGAACAAGATTCCTTCTCAAAAACAAACAAACAAACAAACAAACAAACAAAAAAACATGCCTGAAAAGTGGTAGTACAGAAACATGGCTTTTGTTTTTGTCTTATTCTTACTATTTTATTTGGGAATAGATTACAGGTCTTATTGAAAATTTGGTGGGGCTTAAGAGGCTGAGGTCCACATCCAGTACGTGGTCATCATATCCTCTCAGCCCATAGCCAAGGTGAGAATCACAGTTTTACTTCCAAGCTGCTCCAAATGGGTGAAAGGTGAGTCTATTTCAGATGTTGCTATCTCAAACTACATTGTTTCATCTATTCATTCATAAATTCATTACATACATCTTGAGTTGTATCTAGTACAGTCCTAGGCACTGGTGTTAAAAAAAAATGGAAAAGATATCACCACTTTAGAGCACACATTCTGATTGAAGGTTGAAACAATAAATAATAGTTAAACAAATACACATAATGACTCATTGACATCATGATACTATGTAGAATAAATCAAGATGATGTTATAAGAATGCAACCACTGCTATAGACAGACTGACTCTAAGGAAATCACATTTCAAGTCATATCAGGATGATGACAAGGAGTCAGGCATGAAGGAGAAATGCTTTTCGGAAAAATAAAAACCACATGCAAAAGCTAAGAGCTGTATATGTACAAAAAGAGATGGAAGATGAGTCAAAGATGACCCTCCTCATATTTCTTTAGATTGTTCTCTGTTTTTATATTATATACTTGACCCTGGTATCAGTGTAAAGAATAGACTCAAGGAGACAAAGATGAATAAAAAGGGAGACTGTTTAGGTGTTGTTGCAAATGTGCTGGTGCAAGACAGAAAGGACCAGACTAGGACCACATGTTTGGGTTGAGAGAAGTAAACTGTCATAATAAGAAAGCTAGACCAGCAGAATGCAGAATCTGAAGGAGAATCATCATTATTACAGCAAATATGTGGGTGAGTTACAGAAAGCTGCCAATTAGACTAATGTTGCTTTCATTTAAGACTCATTATTTTTAAGGTTCTGAATCAAAAACAATGAGAAATTAACACAGGACATGGGGAAAAGAGGAGGAAGAAATCTAAAAGAACTGTCAGTGATGGCTTTAACAACTGTGGAAAATTGGGACATGTCATGGTGGATGGCAGAGGTCAAATTTTCTACCTTTCCTCTTACAGATGATAATTATATGTCATAATAAATATTGTAATGTGGAAGTGCCAAGCCAGATGACCTAATAGAGATTTTCAATTTGTAACTTCTTTGCTGCAAAACTAAAGTATTAATCAAGCTAAAAGCTTGTTAGACTGGTTAAAGTTTGACTCTGCCCTAAATGGCCAGAAGTAATAGGGCTGCCTTTCTCTCCTACTTATAGATGCACTCTGCATAATTCTTCAGAGTCTGTGACAATGTCAGCTCAGTAACCCATTTTCTATTCTACTTCTTGTGGTGATGGTGGGTTATATCACATGGACATTGCATCAGTGTGTAGCACAGTGAGAATCTACATAGGACAGTTGAAGGTAAAAGTTTTTATCAAAACAAACACACTGTAGAGGAAGAGAAACAAAATAGTTATTACTTCCCTGGAATCCAAGAATATTAGGTCTGGCACACCTGTGGCTCATTTTTAAAGCATTTTAAAACTTAAAAAATAAAAAACTTGAGTCTAAGCAGAATTACTGTGAAATGTCACAATCATGTTTCTCGTGATTTCATCCTCTAACATGGTACACCAACATTATGTATGAAAAAATGAGATGTGGGGTTTTTTTCTTTAATATTATCAAATAATAATTTTCAATGTTTTTGCTTCCAAAATCATAAAAACATATTACATGCTTCCTATGTCATAAATAAATGTAGGCCAGCTTATTATTACATCTAAAATGTATTTTGTGGTTTGTCACATTCAAGTTGAGATTGATGTGTGAAATCTATTGATTTTCTAAGTTCTAGTGGTAAATATTCAATAAGGAAATAGAAAGTTTGATCAAAAACAAAAGTTATTTATAAAGCTATCTGTTCTTAGTTATATATGATTGGGTACTACTAGCAAAGGTAAAAAGCTATTCAAGTAAAAATGTTCTTTAAAATAACCAACACTATTTACAGAAGACTTTTGCACTATATTCTAGGGACGATCCCAAGCACTTTATGTAAAGAATCTTATTCAAATATCTATTTATTTATTTTAATTGTTTATTTCCATAGGTTTTGAGCAAGAGGTGGTATGTGGTTACATGAGTAAGTTCTTTAGCGGTGATTTGTGAGGTTTTGGTGCACCCATCTCCCAAGCAGTATACACTGAACCCAACTTGTAACCTTTTATCCCTCACCCACTTCCCAACCTTTCCACCTGAGTGCCTAAAGTCCATTGTATCATTCTTACGCTCTTGCATCTTCATAGCTTAGCTCCCACTTATGAGTGAGAACATACAATATTTGGTTTTCCACTCCTGAGTTACTTCATTTAGAGTAATAGTCTCCAATCTTATCCAGGTTGCTGTGAATGCCATTAATTCATTCCTTTTTATGGCTGAGTAGTATTCCATTACATATATATAATCACAGTTTTTTTATACACTTGTTGATTGATGGGAATTTGGGTTGGTTCCACATTTCTGCAATTGCAAATTGTGCTGCTATAAACATGCATGAGCAAGTCTCTTTTTCATATAATGATTTATTTTCCCCTGGGTAGATACCCAGTGGTGGGACTGCTGAATCAAATGGCATTTTTTTTTTTTAATTTTAGAGATGGGATCTCCCTCTGTCACCCAGGCTAAAGTTCAGTGGTGCAGTCATAACTCACTGTAATCTCTAATTCCTGGGTCCAAGTAATCCTCCTGCTTCAGTCACTTGAGTAGCAAGGGCAACAGGTGCACGCCAATATGCCCAGCTAAATTTTTAAATTTTTTTGTAGAGATAATGACTTGTTATATTGCCCAGGCTGGTCTTTAATTCCCAGCCTCAAGTCACCCTCCTGCCTTGGCTCTCAAAGCATTGGGGTTACAGATATAAACCACTGTGCTCAGCCTAAAATCTTATTTTGGAGATGAAGAAACTGAGGTTCAGTGGTTAGTAACTGTTAGTAACATTCTTATCAGCAGCAATATATTTTGTTATTATTGTTATATTATTAATTGTTATAGATATTCTCAAAAGATAGCAACTATCAATGCCTTCCTTCCCTCTTTACACTTGCTCTTCCTACCAAGCTATCGAGTCTAATACCCCTCTCTGTAATTATGGCCTCACTTTAATAACATCCTTGCCCAATAGGATGCAGAAACATGGTGTTTTAGGAATTTTGAGACTAGATCTTAAAAAAATAATTTGTACCTTCTGTCTAGGTCTGGCTTGGCATGTTCGCTCCTGGAGCCCAAATACTGTGCCAGTGAGAAGTCCAAGCTACAGAGAGAGGCCAGGCATGGGCACTCTGGTTGATAGCATGAGCTGACCTCTTAGCTGACTGACACATAAACTAGCCAGCATGTAAAAAAAGAAGACTCTAGCTGAGTACAAAGATTCCATAGAACTCTTAGAAATGAAAATAAATTGTTGCATTAAGCCAGTATGTTTTGAGATTGTTTATTATGTGCATTAGATAACAGACCAATAAATAGAATTTATTGTGGCACAGGGCTAAAACATGGATTATTTGATTTGATTTTAATCATAGGGATTTGATAGTACTATCTTCATTATGTAGATGGAAAAATAGAGAGTCACAAAAGTTATTGCTTATCTAAACGTCACATGGATAGTGATTCTAGGCAATGATTTTGGCTGTCATAAAATATCATCTTATGAGCAGAGATTCCCTCCATTCATTTACACCTATAATTGTTACCTCTTCATCTACTTTATTTTTTATTTTTTTATTTTTTTTTTAGACAGTGTTTCATTCTTGTTGCCCAGGCTGGAGTGCAATGGAGTGATCTCGGCTCACTGCAACCTCTGCTTCCCGGGTTCAAGCAATTCTCCTGCCTCAGCCTCCCAAGTAGCTGGGATTACAGGCATGTGCCACCATGCCTGGCTAATTTTTTTGTATTTTTAGTAGATACAAAAAACAGGGTTTCTTTATGTTGGTCAGTCTGGTCTCGAACTCCCGACCTCAGGTGATCCGCCCTCCTCGGCCTCCCAAAATACCGGGATTACAGGCGTAAGCCACTGTGCCCGGTCCCTCTTCATCTACTTCTAACCTGGAGCACATCTTTTCTCCATTCACAAGGAAACTCTCTAATTCTTCTTCTTTATTGATCAGTCTGTGACTCTGTGACTAGCAGCTGTGAGGTTTTCCAGTCTGATGAAAGTGGTGGCACCCAGGTAACCATGAAGCCTGCATTGTTGAAAATCTAGTAGAAAGTATATCTCAGTGGGTCAGATAATGAAGTTAGGCCTGTTTTATTGAAATGAGGAATATCAAGATAAGACAGAAACAAAAAGGTCCAACTGTAGATCTAGAAATCTTATGGCCAGAGACATGAGAACATGAAACTTTAGTCAGTCACTCAGAAGTGAATCCTTGTCACCCTCAGAAACAAGACTTTTTGGTTTTGTCCCAAACATTAGGAACCTGCATTTAAATGTTAGGATCAGGCCTGTAATCCCAGCACTTTGGGAGGCCACGGTGGGTGGACCACCTGAGGTCAGGAGTTCGAGACCAGCCTGGCCAACATGGCAAAGCCCCCCTCTCTACTAAAATAAAAAAAAACAAAATTAGCTGGGCATTGTGGTGGGTGCCTATAATCCCAGCTACTTAGGAGGTTGAGGCAGGAGAATCGCTTGAACCCAGGAGGGAGAGGTTGTAGTGAGCCAAGATCACGCTGTTACACTCCAGCCTGGGTGACAAGAGCAAAACTCAGTCTGAAATAAAACAAAATAATAAATGTTAGGAAAAATACTATCAGTCCTTTTCATATTTTTAAGAGAGTATCATGCCCTCCTCTTCAAAGATACCCTCCTCTTCAATTAAATAAACACAGTTGACTCTCCATAAGGTATTTTTCATCTTTTGCCATGCTTCTCCTGTATCACATGCAACGTAAATCAAATCCTTATTTGCACAAAGATGATCAGTTTCTTAGGTGCCAGAAGGAACTCTGTGTTTCTGAATTTCTTGTAATCTCCAAGGACAAGCTTAGATAAGCTTTTACTTCCTCCCAGTACATTTTTTCATCAAGAACTCCCCGAGGCGCTATCAGACTGTCCTATGAAACAGATATTTTTAGCTCATCTTTCATCAAGAGGCTCATCAAGTCTCTTCCCCCAAACTCATTATACCATTCTATGGGGAGGGAAACATATAATAAAACAAAAAATAAACTGATTAAAGTTAATTTGTTACAACACGTAAAAAAGAAGAGGCGATGAAACACATCCCAATTTCTTTCTCATCATTGTCTGGGAGGACATACATATATCTTTGTATTTCATGCATTAGGTTAGAAGTTTAATAGCTTTTTGCTTAGTGTTCACAGTCATGAGCGATCAGCTCTCCCTAGTCAGCATTAATCCTTCTATCTCATCTGCATATATTAGTAAAGTTCTGCACAGAGTTACCCATCCCAAGCCCTGACCCTCGCTGACCAAATATCTATGGATGTTGCCTATGAAGTCTTTAGAAATGAAAAAAAAATTAAACCAAATTCGGGATGTATAGGTCAATCCTCTATAGGAGAAAGTCTGTTTCTATACAGTTTCCCTCCTCACATGCTAAGAGTACAGTAAAAGCATATTTCCTCAGGGATATATAAATTATGTCTATTCATAACTAAGCAAAGAAGGGCACTGAGAAATGGAGAGGTCTTCACACAGCCCAAGACTCCTCATAGTTTCCCTTGCATATAATAAACCTAACTTTTTATTATTGTGTTTTGGAATTTCTAATGTAATTGTTTTCAAAATTGGATTATCAAATTGTGGATTTACAATACACAGCTTCCTGGATAAATGTAGTCCCCACCGTGATGGCCTATGAAGAGTTGCTTTCTATTTTGTTGCTTCTTTTTTTTTTTTTTTTTTTTTTTTTTTTTGAGACGGAGTCTCGCTCTGTCGCCCAGGCTGGAGTGCAGTGGCGCGATCTCGGCTCACTGCAAGCTCCGCCTCCCGGGTTCACGCCATTCTCCTGCCTCAGCCTCCCGAGTAGCTGGGACTACAGGCGCCCGCTACCACGCCCGGCTAATTTTTTTTGTATTTTTAGTAGAGACGGGGTTTCACCGTGTTAGCCAGGATGGTCTCGATCTCCTGACCTCGTGATCCGCCCGCCTCGGCCTCCCAAAGTGCTGGGATTACAGGCGTGAGCCACCGCGCCCGGCCGCTTCTTTTTATTAACGAGTGAAATGTTCACAGCTGGTAATCTCGACTTGGTGCTAATGCAAATTCTTCACTAATAAGGATCCTAACAAAAAATGTGTTTTATAATTCACTCCAGTAGTCAGCCCACAGTGGCCACTGACAAATATTGATGGCAGAGTCCTCAGTATGTTCACATTGTGATAGGTAACAATATTTCTTTAGGAATATCAAAATTCCATTATTTGTTTTGCATTCTTAAGCCACATGTATTCCTTCTTTATAGATTTCCAAATGCCTCTTTTCATCAACACATGTCCTATGATTATCTTTTTCCCCAATTCCTTAATAAAGATATGCAATTAATAATGTTTTCCCTGTTTCACAATTATAAAAATTGGATGACCAGTTAGTGAATAAATGATATCTTTCTTCATAGGAGTAGTACTCTCTAACAAGCTTTCTCTTGCATCAAATATTATTAGAAACTAGAGTTAAAGAGTTGCAATTATATAGTACATTGCCATGTAAGTAAAATGAGAGGGGTTTGGGAGACAGAAAGAATTAGTTCATCTTTTCCTGTACAATACTATATTTAAAATCACTTACCAGGCAAATTTGGATTTTCATTTTTTGTAACCTAGGATCCATCTCAATCATCCGCACATGGAAGGAAAGAGGGTTTTTTACGGGTGGTTTTTGAATGCAGGAATACAGACAAATGCCGAGACCCCTTCCAGCAACCATACAAATGACATTGGTATTCAAGTATATTATCCTAATGTAGGTCAAATGCTGCTTAAACCTATGCCTTTGCAATAACATCTCATTCTATCCAAACATCTGCAGACCCTGTCTGATGGATCACTGATTTTCAGCAAATCATAATATTTCAGAATTCCTTAACATGACAACAGCACAATCAGTTCCAGTACATGCTGTTGAATTGAAGCTCAAAAAAAGTTCTGAGATTTATCGCATATTTTATGCTCTCAAGTGTTTTGTATTGTTGTTTTGTTCAATAAAATTTTTAAATATACACAATCTTTTCAAAATTTGTGATTCAAATGGAGAGGGAAATTGTTAGTGTTTCTTTCTCATCATTGCCTGGGAGGACATACATATATCTTTGTATTTCATGCATTAGGTTAGAAGTATAATAGCTTTTTGCTTAGTGTTCACAGTCATGAGTGATCAGCTCTCATAACTCATTGTCGAAAGGTCAAGAATTGAATGAGAGAAGAAAAAAGATGAAGTATTTAATTGGTTGTGTGATAAATAATGTCTGTCCATATTAAATCAAATTCAAATAGAAAATTAATTTGATTGTGATCCTACATCTGAGATCCCTAATTTTCTTTTCTACCGGGAATGTTTCCAATATGGTTATCTCAAATCTTATGACTCTGATTACCAAAATAATACACTTTATAAAAATTTATGTGTCTATAATATGCTTCTTCCAGGAGATGACTCATAGTTTTCATCAGATTTTTAAAGAAACTTTTGGCAAAGAAGGCTAAGAATCCTGGCAAGAGACCATGTGTCTGAGACCCCTTTGGTAAAGGCCACTTAGGGCAGTGAAATGTGTGACCTGCGGTGGCAGATTTCATGGGTTTATATCCCACTTGTGGTGTTTCTAAAACATGATCTCTAGCAAGTTAATTCATTATTGTTGTTGTTGTTGTTTTAAAAAAAACCTCTCATTCCTTATCAAGGCAAGGCTACCCACAGGACTTACCTTTCATTGTTATTCTGAAGAATAAATGTGTCAAAGTAGGCAAAGGTCTTAGATCCTTGGCTATGATATAGTGCCAGATAGATGTTAATGTTCATTAACAGTTTATTTCTATCTAGTATACACTTTGCAGAACTCCAAGTATCTTTTTCATATTACTCTCATTCTATTCTCCTACTGCTAAGAGATAGGAAAGGTCCAGCTATCACTCTCAAAAATTTACAGGGAGCACAAGTGACTAGAACAAAATTTTGAAGAGCCCTGTTTAGGAAGTTATTTGACAGTTAAAGGAATCAGGAATATTTTGCAGCCACAGACCTTAGCATGTCAAACAAACTCTGATTTGAGTTTTCAATTTCTGTGTAGCCTAAATGAATAATTTATCTGCAGCAGCTTCTGTTTTCTTATCATTAAACAGTGTATCAATAAACTTTTATCATAGTAGCTAAATGAAGACACTAAACTTAGGAGGATATCAATAAATATTCATCAACTCTACAAATAATTGTTGAGCTTCTATTATGCACCAAACACTGACAAGTGCCACAAATACAACCTTGAACAAGCCCCTCATGGTTGCTCACCTGAGAACTCTTTTCTCCTAATTCCCTGTCTGTATTAGTTTTCTATTGCTACTCTAACAAATTATTACAACCCTTGTGGCTTAAAACAATATAAAGTTTTAATCTTTTAGTTCTGTCCATCAGAACCCCAACACAGAGTCTCACCATGCTAAAGTCATAGTGCTGGTAGGGCTATATTCCTTCTAGAAGCTGTAGGAGAGAATCTGTTTCTTGTCTTTTCTACCTTCTAGAGACCACTACATTTCTTTGTCTCTTTTCTCCATCTTTAAAACCAGCAACTTTGCATCTCTTTGACTATTCTTCTGTCAGAAAGTCTTTCTCTTACGACAGCCTTTAAACATTCTTGTGATTACATTTGGTTTACCCAGATAATCCAAGACAATCCTCCTATCTGAAGGTCCATAGCCTTATAGCCTTAATCTCATCTGCAAAGTCCCTTTGGCTGTCTAAGGTAATACATTCACAAGTTCCAGAGATTAGGGTGTGGGAATCTTTGGGAGGGGACCATTATTCTGCCTGCCACATAATGTTGCTCAAGTTTAAAATTTTATGTAAGTGCATTTTGTTCTGAATTCAGGAGGCCAGGAGAGTGCTTGCTGCTTAGTCGCCAGTATGTAAAGTACCTTAAATCTGCTTAAATGCTTTATAGATATGTCAGCTCTGCCAGGCAAGGTATATTTTTTGTTCCAGTTTCTCCTTAACTCCCACTGTGAAAAAATTATCTCTACTGTTGATGTGTTTAATTACCCGAGTTAAAGGGCATTAGGCAGCGATACTCTGTAATGCTTGCCATAAGGAAGGCCATCTTTTATCATTAGCAAACTGCTTAGTGGTAGAGCTCACAATTGTACATCTTACCTAGCAGATATTAGTAGCCCACTTATCAGTTTTTCTAATGAGATGAATCATGAGGCAGAGATGGGGTTGGGAGGGGGAGCTAGGTTAATGTTCCAACGGGACTAATTAGAATCAGGTGAGAGCTGGAGAAAGCAACCAAGGTGATTTCAGTCAGAACCCATATGAAAAACTCTAATTAAAAGGAGTGATAGACTTTGCTTTAAGACCTCGGGAGAATACATGATGCTCAATTTAACTTTTTTGACCTGGTGGCCAGATAATGTCAGGTCTCAACGTATTATTTTTTAAGTAAAGGTAGAAAACACTTTTGTGTGTGTGTGGTGCATGAATCATGAGGCTGTGTAAAAATCAAGGACTTTAAAAAGCATACTAAGCATAGAAGCAGAGAAACTCACGGTTTCCAGGGATGGGGCTGATGGGAATGAGATGTTAGTCAAAGGGTACAAACATTTAGTTATAAGATAAATAAATTCTGGGGATCCAGTGTACAACATGGTGACTGTAGTTAATAATATTGGATTGCTTATATGAAATTTAACAAGAGAACAGAGCTTAAGTGTTCTCATCCCCAACCAACACACACAAACAAGATAACTACAGGGGGCGATGGATATGTTGATTAATTTGACTGTAGTAATCAGTTTATAATGCATTGTATTGCTCATCTTGAATATATATAATTTTTATTTGTCAATTAGATACTTTTTTCCAAAGAAAAGAAGTAAAAAGCATATTTTATGAGGAGACGATTTAGGGGAACTTTGATTTTTATATTTGCTACAATTCTGCATGAATGATGGGACATGTAGTTAATAAAGACAATTAAGTAACTAAAAAAGAAGATATACTGAGTGGGAGGTCAATGACATAAAGATAGTTCTACTCAAGATGTTAATGTCATTGGAATAGATCACAACAGTGAGCCTAACCAAGGTGGACTCTGAGAGACAGAGGAACAAAGAATCTGCCTTGTCCATTCTAACATCCGTGTCTCTCAATGCACAACCCAATTCAGGAATAATTTAGCTGAGGTTCCATCCTAAAACCACATAAGCCTTAAATTTGTCACTTCAGTAAAGTTATTATTCCTTCAAAAAAAAAAAAAAAAAAAAAAAAGGTATACAAGGTATTTTAGCTGCAGGGTGCATAACTGGAGAAAGTGTTTCCTGCAGCGATTCTCTGCCTTTCTACTAAATTAACCGCACAAGAACCAACCATGTTACTGTATGACATTTAGTTTTTCTAATCTGTTTAATGCCATGGTTTGCACATGATGTATTCTGATGTGCTTTTATGTTTCAGATACTAAGAAAGCACATTAGAAGTGCAGTAGGGATTCTTTTACAGACAATATAACTTGTTACAAATTGCATTTTCAGAAAAATTATACCGAAAAATCCAATCTTATTTTATGATTTTTTCCCTCAAAATTACATTTTACCTCCTGCTTGTCTTCTGTCTCTTGTGTCTAAGCATCTTCACTTTGAGATCCTCCTGATTCATTCTCCTTTCCTCTGTGCCCTGTGGTAAATGAATTCAAATCTATTTTTAAGGTAAAAATCGACAGCACTTGGAGATGCAGTCAGCATTTATGTGATGCTAAGACTTTCACGGATGCTGTGGGGGAACTTTTGAACACATTTTTGACTGAAGTATAGATTTCAATTCTGTAATCTCTTTTGTTCCTAGCAAAAGTGGACTCTGACCTTTGGCTTTCTGCACTCAGCATGTGTTTATAAAATGTCAAATTAGTAAAAAAAAAAAAAAAAGAAAGAAAGAAAGAAAAGTTTATGTTCATTTTGTTATATTTTCAACACACTTATTCATGCAATTATGATATAATAAAATAGAAAAGCTTTATCATCTAAGCTGCATGTCCTGATGTGTATATACATGTGTATATTCTCTCTAGATACATGTTTTACATCTTGCAACATATACGTACACACACATAGAACAATGCAGAGTACTTATACTTGTTTTTGTTAGCTGTTTCTGCCCTCTCCAGAAAAATCCTATCTATATGAAGAATCTCATATTATAAAAGATGCATCCAGTTTGAGATTTGTTTGTTTGTTTGTTTGTTTTTTAATTTGAGACAGGGTCTCACTCTGTTGCCCAGTCTGGAGTGCAGCGGCATGATCTTGGCTCACTGCAACCTTCACCTTTGGGGCTCAAGCGATCCTCCTGCTTCAGCCTTCTGAGTAGCTGAGACTACAGGGGTGCATCAAAACACCAAGATAATATCTGTATTTTAGGTAGATGGGGTTTCACCATGTTGCCCAGGCTGGTCTCAAACTCCTGGACTCAAGTGATCTGCTCGCCTGGGCCTCCCAAAGTGTTGGGATTACAGGCGTGAGCCACTGTGCCTGGCTGATTTTTGGATTTCAATAGTAGAAATTCCACTTTAATTCTAAATGTTTTAATTCTAAAATTTAATACTGTAGAATTTTATTGATTTTTTCCTTTTTTTTCCACACTCTTGTTCCCATTCTCTTCTCCTACTTCTAAGAGATAAATAATGTTCAGCTATCACTTTCAACTCAGTGGATATACAAATAAATAACAAATTAAAGACCTATATAATTGACCGTTTGGCAGTTTAAAATTCAAGGACATTGGTTGGGCATGGTGACTTATACCTATAATCCCAGAACTTTGGGAGGCAACGGGGGAGAATCACTTAAGGCCAGGAGTTTGAGACCAGCCTGGGCAATGTAGTGAGACCCTGGCTCTACAATAAATTTAAAAATTAGCTGGATGAGGAGGTGTGCCCCTGTATTCATAACTACTTGGGAGGTTGAGGCTGGAGGATCACTTCAGCCCAAGAGAACAAGGATGCAGTGATTGTGCCACTGTATCACTCCAGCCTGGGTGACAGAGTGGGACCCTGTCTGTAGTAAAAATAAATAAATAAATAAGTAAATAAATAAAAATAAGGACAATAACATATGATACAAAAAAGTAAATAAACATTAATAAGTGTTTTAAGTATTTATTTATTTAAAAAAGTAAATGAAAGTTTGTACATCACTGAAGTGGCAGTAGTCTGATCAGTTAGGAATTAAAATCCTGCTTTCCACTGGAATGACATTAGGCCATTATTAGATTAGCCCTTTCCCTTATGTAACCTTAGGTGGCCATAAGTCTGTAGACACACCTATGTCTAGAGTTCAGACTCTTGTAAGTAGCAATATAAAACTTGATAAGTCTATTTCTTAAAATAATGACTTAAATAGATCACTGCAGTTGGCCACTCCCAGTGACTTAAAGAGCACATTTACCACATCAATTCCAAAGGGAAGCACAGGAAGGAATACATGTGGGTGGGCTAGGAGCTCAGTCTTCCTTTAAGATGAGCAGAAATCAGGGTCACTTTCCTCTTTCTGCTTAAAATGTTTTAAAGATTTTAAGTTTATGTGTATGAATTGGAGAGTATTGCAGGGGTAAGAAGGTGTAGTATCTTTCCTTACCCGTTGTAAGGCTCACAGCTAATGCTTCTATAACGAAACACAAATTAAAAAGAGGAGAGCATAACAAATTTGTTTAATCAAAGTTTTATGTGGCGCTCTTCAGAAATGAAGACTCAAGGACCCAGAAAAAGCTGCCAATTTTTATGTGTAGGCTCAATGAAGAATGAACGGCCACGTAATATGTGATTGGACAAAAGGATAGGCTCTCATGGTAATAGACAAAGGGAGGAAACCCAATAGACCCCAATAGACATATAGGCTCTGTTTGTCTAGATTTCTATTGGCCTTTCTGTGTAGCATTTTTTCCCCTTAGTTATAGGGTAGGACCCCTCTGGAATGAGGGTCGTAGAGAAGGGAGAAGAAAATGACTTTTCTAGGTTTTATAGCTTTGCTTGAGAAAGAGGAGTTCCAATTTCTTTTTTTTTTTCTTTTCTTTTTTTTTTTTTTTTTTGAGACCGAGTCTTACTCTACTATTGCCCAGGTAGGAGTGCAGTGGTGCAATCTCAGCTCACTGCAACCTCCACCTCCCATGTTCAAGCAATTCTCCTGCCTCAGCCTCCCAAGTAGCTGGAATTACAGGCGCATGCCACCACGCCTGGCTAATTTTTTTTTTTTTTTTTTTTTTTGTATTTTAGTAGAGACAGGGTTTCACCGTGTTGCCCAGGCTGGTCACAAACTCCTGAGCGCAGGAAATCTGCCTGCCTCGGCCTCCCAAAATGCTGGGATTAC
Source organism: Homo sapiens (assembly GCF_000001405.40). NCBI lineage: Eukaryota > Metazoa > Chordata > Mammalia > Primates > Hominidae > Homo > Homo sapiens. Next base: position 62,378,119 of record NC_000016.10, on the reverse strand, counting down.
AGGCATCAGCCACTGTGCCCGGCCTAGGAGTTCCAATTTCTATTACCTCCTTTGGGTAAGGGAAATTCTGGTTTCTCCGATTCCCTTTGGGGGACAAAGTGGGGTGGGAGAGAGGAGGGCAGGAGAAGGTCAGAAAGTCCTTGCTTTTGAGGCCATTCCAATGCCTTTAGCTCCAAACACTCAGTGTGCCAAAGTGCTCTACTTTGAGGTATCATGTTCTATGCTCCAACGGTATATTTTTCTGAACTATAAATAATAGCACACAACTTAAATACCATTATTAGCCAAGATCGATGGAAACCTTTATTTATTTATTTATTTATTTATTTAGTGACAGGGCTTTGCTCTGTCACCCAGGCTGGAGTGCAGTTGCAGTTGCAAAGTCATAGCTCACTATAACCTTGAATTCCTGGGCTCAAGCAATCCTCTCACTCAGCCTCCCAAGAAGCTGGGACTATAGGTGCACACCTGCACACCTGGCTATTTTTTTTTCTTTCTCTCTCTTTTTTTTTTTTTTTTTTTCTGTAGAAACATGGTCTCGCTATATTGCCCAGGCTGGTCTTGAACTTCTGGGATCAAGTGGTCCTCCTGCTTTGGCTTCCCAAAGTGTTGAGATTAAAGGCGTGAGCCACTGCACCTAAAAAATTTAAATGCTATAAAAGTGGTCCAATAACAGGGCAGTCCTCATAGTATAATCATTACAAATGCAAGGTCACTTTTTGAAAATAATAATTATTTCATGTTTCAAATCTGAGAAAGTATTGAGAGGGAATGTTTTATGTCTACAGATGCCTAATCACCTCTACCCTGCTAGTCATAGTACCTGGGTCAAGTGGGTAGATGTGGCACAATCAGGTAAACAACAATGATAATTCAACCTGGAAAGTCCCCAGGCAGTCTGGATCAAGGTTTTTTTTCCAAGAGATGGGACTGATTTGGTGTCAGCCTTCACATTATTAAAATGAGATGTCTTTATCAGTAAATAGAGATAGCACTGAATCTTCTTGTGGAAGTAGATTTGTTGAAGAATCACCTTCTGAGCTTGCTTGTAGAGTACAGCTTGTTAACATGAGTATCAATTGTTCAGCTGTCATCAAGAGGAACAAGGCTGGGCGTAGTTGTTCATACCTGTAATCCCAGCATTTTGGAAGGCGGAGGCAGGTGGACCACCTGATGTCAGGAGTTCGAGACCAGCCTGGCCAACATGGCAAAACCCTGTCTCTATTAAAAATACAAAATTTAGCTGGGTGTGGTGGCACACGCCTGTAATCCCAAGGGAGGCTGAGATAGGAGAATCACTTGAACCCAAGAGGTGGAGGTTGCAGTGAGCCGAGATTGTGCCACTGCACTCCAGCCTGGATGACAGAGCAAGATTCCATCTCAGAAAAAAAGGAAGAACAAATACTAAAACCAATAGTCAGGGGGTACCATGATGCCGGGGATGTTTGTCTTACTCACACTTCAATATCAAGAAACTAGTACTAGTTCCATCAGATAAAGAAATCAGCAATTACTGAGGAATAACTATTGGAATTGTAGATATTTCAAAGAAAAAGAAAAAAGCCCAGAATACAAACTGACCTTTGTATACTGTGTGAGCCAAAAAAAATGAAGCCTAGGCAAAATTAATATAGAGAGTTTATTTGGGCCAAGGTTGAGAACAGCTGCCTGGGACACACCTTCAAATTACCTTGGGGAGGGCTCTGTCTGGCCTTTGTTACAAGCAAGTTATAAAATAGAAGACAAAGGCAAGGAGTGGACTGGAACACAATTGTTGGACAGGAATTCTTATTGGTTTACAGAAATAACACTGGTTAGTCATCGGCTGTACATTGTTGAAAACAAGGTATGAATTATGATGTTCAGTATATGCCATTGTTAATTTTATGGTGTTTTCTCTCTGGGACTGATAATTTAAAGTGGCTCACAATCCTCATAAAAAAAGTTTCTTTTTTGTCATGAAATTTTTGCCAGTTCCTATGTCCAGAATGGTATTGCCTAGGTTGTCTTCAGGGTTTTTATGGTTTTTTGGTTTTCTATGTAAGTCTTTAATCCATCTTAATTGATTTTTGCATATGGTGTAAGGAAAGGATCCAGTTTTGTGGGTTTTTTTTTTTTTTTTTGAGACAGAGTCTCACTCTGTTGCTGAGGCTGGAGTGTAGTGGCGTGATCTTGGCTCACTGCAACCTCCGCCTCCCAGGTTCAAGCGATTCTCCAGCCTCAGCCTCCTGAGTAGCTGGGATTACAGGCATGCACTACCATGCCTGGCTAATTTTTGTATTTTTAGTAGAGACGGGGTTTCTCCATGTTGGCCAGGCTGGTCTTGAACTCCGGACCTCAGGAGATCCACCCACCTCGGCCTCCCAAAGTGATGGGATTAGAGGCATGAAAGAATCCAGTTTTAATCTGCATATGGCTAGCCAGTAATCCCAGCACCATTTACTGAATAGGGAGTCCTTTCCCCATTGCTTGTTTTTGTCAGCTTTATTGAAGATAAGATAGTTGTAGGTGTGTGGTCTTATTTCTGGGTTCTCTATTCTGTTCCACCAGTCTATGTGTCTGTTTTTGTACCAGTACCATGCTGGTTTGGTTTCTGTAGCACTGTAGTATAGCCTGAAGTGGAGTAGCATGATGCTTCCAGTTTTGTGCTTTTTGCTTAGGATTGCCTTGGCCCTTAGGGCTATTTTTTGGTTCCATATAAATTTTTAAATAGTTTGTTTTCTAGTTCTGTGAAGAATGTCATTGCTGTTTGATAGGAATAGCATTAAATCTGTACATTGTTTTGGGCAATATGGCCATTTTAACATTATTGATTCTTCCTAACCATGAGCATAAAATATTTTTCCATTTGTTTGTGTCATCTCTGATTCCTTGAGCAGTGTTCTGTAATTCTCATGACAAGATCTTTCACTTCTATGGTTGGCAGTATTCCTAGGTATTTTATTCTTTTTGTGGTAATTGTGAATGTGATTGTGTTTCTTATTTGGCTCTTGGCTTTGCTGTTGTTGGTATATAGGAATGCTACTAATTTTTATATGTTGATTTTGTATCCTGAAACACTGGTGGAGTTGTTTATTAGTTTAAGGAGTTTTTGGGCTGAGACTATGAGGTTTTCTATATATAGAATCGTGTCTTCTACAAACAGGGAGAGTTTGGCTTTCTCTCTTCCTATTTGGATACCCTCTGTTTCTTTCTATTGTGTGACTTCTCTGGCCAGGACTTCTAATACTGTGTTGAATAGGAGTGGTGACAGAGGGCATTTTTGTCTGGTACCAGTTTTCAAGGGGAATGCTTCCAGCTTTTGCCCATTCATTATGATGTTGGCTGTGAATTTGTGATAGATGGCACTTACTCTTTTGAGGTACGTTTCATTCTGTTGGTGGGAGTGTAAATTAGATCAATCATTGTGGAAAAGAGTGTGATGATTACTCAAAGAACTAAAACCAGAACTATCATTTGACCCAGCAATCCCATTAGTGGTACATTCTCTAAGAAATACAAATAATTCTCTCATAAACACCCATGCATGAATATGTTCATTGCAGCATTATTCACAATAACAAAGACATGGGATCTACCTAAATGCCCATCAATGGATGATTGGATAAAGAAAATGTGGTATGTATACACCATGGAATACTATGCAGCCATAAAAAGCAAGGTCATGTTCTTTGTGGGAACATGGATGGAGTTGGAGGCCATTATCTTTAGCAAACTAACGTAAGAACAGAAAACCAAATACCTCATGTTCTTACTTATAAGTGGGAGCTAAATGATGAGAAGATGTGGACACCAAGAGGAGAACAATAGACACTGGGGCCCAGCTTATGGCGGAAGAGCAGAAAAGGTAACTATTGGGTACCAGGCTTATTACTTGGATGATGAAGTGATCTGTACAATAAACCACTCTGACCTGAGTTTACCTATATAACTAACCTGTACATGTACCCCTGAACATAAAATAAAATTAAAGTTAAAAGTTTTCTTTACTTTCTCACAGTCTTATATGCATTCTAAGGAAGGTACTATACACATGCAATGCTCAGCTTTTGGAAAGTGAAACTTCTCTTCTAGGTGTCAGAGATGATGTGTGTATGTGTAACCAGCACCATGAAAAGGGTTGTGTAGGTTACAAATTAATTTCCAATGTGATATTTAATTAGCCAAGTGCCAATAATTCAATTTAATTATTAATGCCTCTTCCCTCATGGCCAAACATTTTCCTTAAGGTTAAGACTCAATAAATAAAAGAAATACAATTTTTAATTCAATCAGCATATAAGTCCAGGGGATGTAAATGCCAGAATTGTATTGCCTGTACTCAAGCTTTAGATACTAGCTAAATACTAAAGCTTCAGAATAATAACATTTCTTCCTCTGTATTGCAAGTCAAAATATTGTAATGCTTATTTTCTTTGTGGTGTTTCTTTGAAATGCAAGAAAGTATAGCTTGGTGATCAAGGTTCTGTGGTTTCCAGGTGTTGGGGGTCAGTGAGAAGGGTCCCCCGCTTGGATAAATTATTTCCCCAAGTTGGAAACATTTTAAAGGAAAATGCCTCATTTGCAACTTGTCATTTGGGGACAAAGCACTAATTACATGAGAGGTTTCTTTGAAAGAGGATGTAAATGCAGTAGTAGAAAGTTCTTTAGAGAAGGCGTTGAAATTGTTAAGGTAATTGGGAATTATGAGGAATTAAACTTCCTGCTAGCATAAACATCTTGCCAAACCTCCATGAATGATTAGGCATAGGTTTTCATAACATGAATTTCAGAGAGGAGTAGTTATTTCCTGACAACAACCCAAAGTGCAGTGATTCAGAATAATCAGAATTAGTGAAAAAGAAATGTACCTCCTGGTTCAGTATATTCTCAGATGCATTAGCCAACTACTTGAAAAAGCCAATCCCTCTGAAATGCTGCTTCCTCATAGCTTTAATGGAGATGATTATACATACCACGTGGTAATATTGATCATATATATTTAATGAGATTATTGTGAATATTGTATAAAAGAATGACTGCTCATATGAGATGCATTGTGGTGTAGTATGCAATTGTGTAGGCTTAATGTGAGATCACTTGGATTTGAATCTGATTTTTCTGCAATAACTAGTTGTGTGACTTGAGCCAATTAATGATCTTCTACATCTTTTAATTTCTTCTATAAAATGGGAATAATGTAGGCACCTTTGTCATAAAGATATTATACAGATAACACTAAAATTATATAAATAAATATTAAAACATGATTTGGTAAATATCAAAAAAGTTTAGCTAATTTTACCATCGAATGCATCATTTATTGTCATTAAATTTTCACCATCTCCTTTGCTCACATTTAATACCTCTAACTATAAATAAATATTACGTACTCAGTGTCAGAAATATAGCTTTGCTATTTTACTTCTAGACTTGCCAAAGGCATTTTAATCTATAATTTTAAATGGTGTATTTGTCACATATTTTCTCATTTAAAGAGAGGTGATTTTTGCCGCTGGCTTCCCAACAGGCATTTTTCTAGCCACTGTGCAGCTTTCTTTTGAAATGACTATTGTTAAAACTGGTAAGCAGGGAAGACAGCTAGTAGCTGTATTTTGACAGTGAAGTTCTCTGTCTACCTTGTCCATGAAGACAAAAAGCTTTACAAGTGCACGATTAGTTGAATTGAAAGTGATCATTTTTGTCTGAGCAGGATTAATAGAATAAAGAAATTTCCACAAAATTTTGTTTCAATTTTTTCTCCAACTATTTCAATCAGATCAGCTCTTGGAAACTTTAAAGTACGTTAAAGTACTTGAAGGGCACTGGCATCTTCCATTTACCACAGTGGCTGAAAAATAATAGAATATTTTCCTTAGACTTGTTATTTGATGAATAGGATATAATCAGTGAGGCACATTTCAAAAAATAGACTCAGTAAACTAGAGATTTCATAGTACCAAGATCCGTGTGATGACAAAGACAGCTCTCTTTATGTTTGCATTATTCTAACTTTCCGATTGGAATATTCAATTTAAGAGAGTGATCTTTTCTCAGCATCTTGATTTTGCTACTTTGGCGTAATATGACATCACTGTGGCTCAATTTTCTCTTTTGTAAGATGGGGGAAATAATGGTACTTACCTCAGAGAATTTTGATGGGACTGAGGTAGTGCACAGTGACTGAAAGATGGCGGGGGTTCATCTGCCTTATTTAATAGAAGAAACTAAGACATCCTGAGTTTCAAGATACGATCCAAGGCATACAAGTAAAATGGAGCAGCATATTTGAAACTTTAAACCAGAATTGCTAATATCTGCCCCTGCGTTGTTTACCATCTCATCTTCCTGCCTGCCTTCCTAGAATCACTTTCAAGATTATATTCTTAAAAAAGAAGAAATAAAAGGAGGAAGAGAAGGGAACAGAAAGAAAGGGAAGGGGGTGAAGGGGAGAGAAGAAGAATATTTATTTATTTATTTATTTATTTTTGAGACGGAGTCTAGCTTGTTGCCCAGGCTGGAGTGCAGTGGTGCGATCTCGGCTCACTACAGGCTCTGCTTCCTGGGTTCACGCCATTCTCCTGCCTCAGCCTCCCAAGTAGCTGGGACTACAGGCTCCCGCCACCACTCCCGGCTAATTTTTTTTTTGTATTTTTAGTAGAGACTAGGTTTCACCGTGTTAGCCAGGGTGGTCTCGATCTCCTGACCTTGTGATCCATCCACTTGACCTCCCAAAGTGCTGGGATCACAGGCTTGAACCACCGCGCCTGGCCGAAGAAAAATATTTAAACAATTATGTAACCTTGATAATTTTCAGGTTCCACATGGCTTGCATTGTTAATAAAGTCATATTTAAAGAAATTACAAATAGAACTTCTCAGGTACTGAATATCCATCAGTAACAATAAACATTATGGTTGTGTGTGTTGTTGTTGTTGTTGTTGTTTTGTCTTACAAACTGGCACCCAAGAGGTCCATGCACATGGTTTTCAGAAAGCTTGCTGGACATTTTCATTGGTCATTGGTTCCATTCTCCAAAAATTTCACACAAATACGGTCACTGGTGAAAATCTCTCCCACTTTTTAAATTAACCCATTTCTCACACTGCTATGTTACTCTTCTTGTTCAACTCCCCTACCACCCCCCTCCCCCGAGAACCATATATGGACTAAATGACAGTCATCTATGACTGGGAGAAGTCCCTGACATTTAATAATAATTTGAACTTACTTGGAGGGAATGTGTGGAGTCTACTGTAAAGTCTAACTCCTTTATTGGTTCGTTTTCCTAACCATAATGTCATTTTTTAAAATGCATGTTCCACTTCACTTTGTTTGTCTTATTTCCAAGAGGCACAGGAGTAGAGAAGATAACCATGACCATTGTACACATCAAGCCTTTAAGCCAAAGTTATTAATGGAGTGGTTTCAATGTCCCCTATCTTCCCCCACAAACTGTAATCAATTTTACATCCGGCCAAATTGGATTACTCTCTCTTCCTATTTCCCCTCCATGCACATTCATTTCTGTGCTCTGCTCTTCATTTTCCCTCAGCTTAGACTATTCCCTCTTGACAGCCCATAGAAAGCCCAGATTATAGACAGAGCCTTTATTAAATCCGCAATATAAACCCTTCTTTTGATCCTACCGACATGGAACAATGTATTAGGTGAGAAATACAGAAAGGCAGAGAATAAATAAAAAGAGAGGGAGAACTTAAATAGCAAAGGAATAAAGAAATTATTCATAAAATATTCTAGGATCAGAATCTTTGCTTTGAAATGCAAGACAAGCCAATAGAGTCAGCTTTTAAATCTCAGTTCAGCCACTTATTTACTATGACCTTGAGTAAGTTTTGTATTACCCTGGACATCAGTTTCTGCATCTTAAAAAAAAATACTAGGATAAGAATGTGCTATAATATAAACCTCTTACCCTAATGGTGGTCATAGGTTTGGTGATCAATAAATTATAGTTATTTTTATCATTACTATTAATAATAAATAAACGTAGAAAAACCTTTTGTACTGCTTGGAATTCTCTCTGTATGCTATGCTGTATCTTTCAGCACTAAAATACTCATTAGCTCATGTGGAAATAAAAAAGAAAGGAAGAAGAAACAAGGCTAAATCATGTAATAAGAGAATCAGGGGGAACATAAGTGCTCGCACACATACACTTTTACAATATTCAGTAATTACTCTAGCTTCACTGGGTGCTTCAGTTTTACTTCTGGGAATAAAACGTAGTGCACGTGAGTCTGTAACTGAACACTCATGCGCATGCACATGGTGCAAATTTCAACCAATGAACGTAAAACAAACAAACCGATAATGATTCAATAATGGCTGTGTTATTTTTTATGTTTATATTAGTACCACATAAATGTCAAAGCACCGTAGAAGAGAGTAATGATCATTCTTATCATGTGTCTTTTTAAAATTCCTTACCTGCATTCAGAATTAAAGGGAATGGAAGGAACTCTTTATATGAGTGTTTGTTTGTGTGTGATAGTGCATGTGTGTGAATATAGGCACATATATTCTCTCAATAATGTTGATTTTTAGAAGTGGTGTCTGAATTTAAAAAAATTTAAGAAAAAGTCATAGTTTGCACCTTAAGGAACTCACAGTAAAGGAGAGGAAAAAACATTAAAAAAAGTCAATTTTTAAGATATGTGCTTATGAAAACTAATTATAAAGTAGTGCGAATAGACTACTAAACATTTTTTGGTCCATCATTTGTGATGGAGACAGAGATACTTATAATGACAATAATAATAATAATAATAATACATAGTATTTATTGACTAGTTACTATGTGCTAAATAATGTGTAAGTATTTTATCTTTGCAATAAATACTTTATCTTTTTATTGAACTATGTTATATATAGGGAAAGTGCGTACATCTTAAATATTCAGCTTGATAAGTTGTACAAATTGGACGTATCTTATAACCAGCATTCAGACCAAGAATCAGCTCATTACCACAGCTACAAGTTTCTCATTCTTGGCTAATATGAGCAGTGTAACTATGAATATTTTAGTGTATGCTTTATGGTGAACACAGGTTTTATATATCTATGTCAATTCATAATAAAGCTCTCCTATGTTTTCCCACAGAAACTTTGCTGTTTTATATTTCATATTTAGATATGCGACTCATCAGACATTGATTTCTGAATATAACAAAAGGCAAGTGCATTATTTTTTCTTATACAGATATCGAATTGATTCAGCACAATTTATTCAAAATATCAAGCTTTCTTCATAAGTTTTACAATTTTTAATTTTTAAATAAGATTCTCTTTTTCATATCATTTCTCTCACTCCACATGTTTCTGAGATGTGTCTGTTTTTGCATGCATTAGTAGTTCCTTCCAATCATCCTTCCATTCATCCTTCCATCCATGTTTCCTTCCATCCTTCCTTCCATCTATCCTTCATTCCTTCTTTTGTTCCCACCTCCTTCCATTCCTTCCTTTTTTCCCTGAGAGAACATAATGCTTGTTATTTGTCCATTAAACTTGAATGACATTTGTGCTATCCAGAGATTTTAGTTACTGAGAATAGAGCTGCTGTGATCATACCATACAAGACCTTGTATGGACATACATTTTTATTTCTCATCAGTAAATTTAAGTCATATTGTGAGCATGTGATTAACATTTTTAAGAAACTGCCAAACAGTTTTCAAAACTTCTTGCACCATTTTATATTTCTGCTAGCATTCATGAGAGCTCTTGCCAATTGTCTTAGTCCATTTGTGTTGCTATAAAGGAATACCTGAAGCTGAATAATTTATCATGAAAAGAGGCCTACTTGGCTTTTGGTTCTGCAAGCTGACAAACAAGCATGGAACCAACATCTGCTTCTGGTAAAGGCTCCAAGCTGCTTCCCACTCATGGCTGAAGGTGAAGGAGGGCCCAAAAAGAGCCTGCAGAGATCAAACGAGAGGAAACAAGACAGACAGAGGAGGTGCTAGGCTCTTTCAAACAACCAGCTCTATTAGGAACTAATACAGTGAGAACTTACTCAGCTCTCATCCTCCCCCCATTAATCTATTCAAGAAAGATCCACCACCATGACCCAGACACCTTCTATTAGGCCCTACCACCAACCTTGGGGATCAAATTTCAACATGAGATGTGGAAGGGACAAAAATCTCAACTATGAAACCAATATTCTTGCTAACGCTCAATACCATCAGCTCTTTTTATTTCAGCCCTTCTAAAAGGTAGGTAGTGGCATATCTTTGTGGTTTTAATTTATATTTTCTTGATGTCTAATGAGGCTGAACATCTTTTTATCTCTTTTTTGGCATCATTTATCTTTACTTGTGATGTATTTATTTAAATAATGTTGATTGATCTTTTCATAGTATCAGCATATGGTTCAGGAGTCAATGGGACTCAGCTTGGGCAGAGTTTACACACAGAATGTGGAGCCCTGCCTTTTTAGTCCTCTCTGATACGGTATTCTCTTCTCAGTCCAAAAGACAATACATTTAAACAGAGATCCAGCTGTTCTCAACCAGAGTAGTACTGTGGCCCATCCTTAATCCAAACTGGCAATGATAGGGTACCCTCCCTGTGTTGGATTCTTCCTTCACATCTTCACTCACTCCAGAATCTGCACACCTTTATTCACTCCGTAGAGCTTCAAGGTAGTTATTTTTTTGTATATTTTCTCCAGAGTTATAATTTCTATCTGTATAGAGTTTGGTCTTCTGGGAACTCATTCTGCCATATAGAAAGTATAATTCTCAAAGGAGTGTTTTGAAAACTGTAGACAAGAAAGGACTCTAGCTAGGATTTATTAAGCACCTAATTTACATTCACCTAGGATTTTTACAAATTATTCTGTGTAGTCAGTATAATGTTTATTCTTTCAGGATCCTTATATTATTAAGAAAATTAAGATCAGGGCTGTGGAATAGTATCCCAAAGTTGCAAATTACATTTATGTGGGCCTGGAACATAATCAGAAAAAGATTGTCAGACTCTAAATTCTGTATACTCTTAAGTGAACCATGTGGCTTTTTTCAGTTTGTAACCATAAGAATGAAGTTTCCTAGTAGTTACCATATTAACTAGAAATAATATAAGTTAGCATTTACAAACTCTATAAGATTACTGCAGATACATTTCTGGCTTTTCCCTCATGCAAACAATATTTGATACAATACATCTGTATCCATTGCATATTATGATCTGTAATTGATCTTTTGCCAAAAGACTGATCAATTCAATGAAAAATTGTGATTTAGAAGAAAAGTTAAAATCCATTAACTGGAAAAATAACCTATATTCATGGACTTGAAGAATTAACATTGCTTAAAATCTCCAAATTATCCATCATGATCTATATAGATTCAATGCAATCCCTATCAAAATACCAATGAGATTCTTCACGGGAATAACACTAAAATCACAAAATTTGTTTGGAATTATAGAAGACTCCCAAATATCCAAGGCAATCTTGAGTGAAAAAATACACAAATACAAAAACAATGCTGAATATACAAATACAAAAACAGCCAGGTATGGTGCCTCATGCCCGTACAGTCCTAGCAGTTCGGGAGGACGAGGCAGGAGGATTGCTTGAGCCCTGGAGTTTGAGAAAAGCCTTGGCAACATGGAGACAACCCTGGCTCAAAAAAAAAAAAGCTGGAGGCATCACACTACCTGATCTCAAAGTATACTACAAAGCTATAGTAAACAAAACAGGATGATACTGCCATAAATGTCATAAAAACAGACAGACAGACCAATGTAGCAGTATAGAAAGCCCAGAAATAAATCTATGCATCAATAGCCAACTGATTTTCAACAGAGGCACGAAGAATACACAGTGGGGAAAGGGCAGTATCTTCGATAAATGGTGTTGAAAAACTGGATATATACATGCAAAAGAATAAAATTAGACATTTATCCCTTAGCATATACAAAACTTAACTAAAAATAAATTAAAGAATTAAATGTAAGATGTCAATCTACGAAATTACTGAAGAAAACACAGGGGAAATGCTTCATGACATTCCTCTGGGCAAGGATTTTTTTGGGTAAGACCTCGAAAGCAGAAATAACAGAAGGAAAAATAGACAAAAGGGATTACATCAAGCTAAAAAGCTGGTTCACAGCAAAGGAAAAATCAGAGGAGAGAAAAATACAGCCTACAGAATGGAAGAACATATTTGTAAACCATATATCTAATAAGAGGTTAATATCCAGAATATAAAAGGAACTCAAACAATTCAATAGTAAAAAAGCCAAATACTGCAATTTAAAAATGGACAAAAGACCTGAATAGATGTTTCTCAAAAGAATACATACAAATGGCCAAGAGGTATACGAAAACATTCTCAACATCACTAATAATTAGGGAAATGCAAATCAAAGCCATAAGGAAATATCACCTCAATCCTGTTAGAACGGCCATCATCAGAAAGACAAATGATAACCAGACAACTTCTGCTGGGAATGTAAATTAGCATAGTCATTATGGAAAACAGTATGGAGATTCCTCAAAAAATTTAAAATAGAACTAACATATGATCCAGTAATTTCACTACTGGGTATATATCCAAAGAAATTGAAATCAGTATGCAGAAGAGATGTCTGTACTCCTATGCTTATCACAGTACTATTTGCAATAGCCAAGATAAGGAATTAACCTAAGTGCCCATCAATCAATGAACAGATAAAGAAAATGTAGTACATACACACAATGGAATATTATTCAGCCATAAGAATTAACAAAATCCTGCCATTTGCCACAACATGGATGAACATAGAAGACATCATGCTAAGTGAAATAAGTCAGGCACAGAAAGACAAATAATGCATGATCTCACCTACATATGGAATATAAGCTGATCACATTGAAATACAAAGTAGAATGGTAGCTACCAGAGGCTGGGGTTAGTAGAGGGGAGAAGGGATCAGGACGATGTTGTTTAAAGGATATATAATTATAGTTAGATAGGAGGACTAAATCTCAAGAGATTTATTATAGAGCAAGATTACTATAGTTAATGATGATGTATTGTAATCTTGAAAAATAGAGAGTGGATGCTATGAGCTCTTTTCACAAAAATGATAACTATATGAGGCAATGCATTTGTTAATTAGCTAAATTGAACCCTTTCACAATGCGTGTATGTACCATGAAATGTCATGTTTTATACAACAAACACATACAGTGTTATATGTCAATTTAAAAGAAATCTGTTCAAAAATTACTTATTTAGCATCTACTATGTGTTGTATAATACCATAATTTCTGTGATCACAAAGGAAACAGGCACCTTAAGCCATTATCTATTATACAAAGAACAGTAAACTTCAATTAGTAGGTCAGACTTTTAAGAAACAGGAAAACTAGCTATGTAGCAAACAATGAAAATACAAATGGAACTGCAAAATACAATGCATTCCCTCAAGAAATTATAAAGAGTATCCTGAGACTACATAAAGGTGATTAATCTGTTTTAGGAAGGGGAGTCAAAACATTTTGCATCTCCAACATGTTGACTCCACCAAAAACTTCAATAACGCCTTCTCAATCTTTTTCTTTCTCTGTTTCCTATTTGGGGTTCATATCTGTCAACCTCTATGATAAATGCATGACTGAACTTCTACTGTTTACTGATACAGGGAATGTTCAGATTCATAGAATTCTTCTTTTCTGTCATTCTCTTCAAGAAGAAGCAACGTTGACAGACATAGAGCATCTGGGGTCAGGTGGGAACCTGAGAGACAGAAAACTTTATGTGTTAAATAAAAGCAGGTCCCTTCAGTTCAACAAAAGTTGGAATAGCAATGATGTGAGCATTTAAAATAAAAGCAGCATGGAAACCATATAATATATTGGTATCTATAATATTTTCTTCCTTCTTTTTTGACAGGCCATAATATGCATGTGTATATTCAGAGAACATCTTTGTCATCATCATCATCACCATCATCACCATCATTAATGTAAATCTGCCTGATAATAAAACAATTTTCTTCTCCATCACACAACAAATGTTTAGAAGTATGTGATTGATAACTTTGTGTTGCAGAATTCTTCTACAGAAAAGGCAAACTCTGTCAGTGTTGTGTATCTTAAGAGAAGATTGTTGCCCCTGCATTAAGTGTGTAAGCAGTACACACACACACACACACATGAATTTTTTCCTAAGAATTAAACCTAGTTTATTTCCATTGTCAACCTTCATTATTCCACCATGGTAGCAGAAACTTAATCTCAGTCTTTTTGGGGCTTTTCTTTTTAATTTTTGGCAGGAAGGCTGGATGTCTGAGTCTCAACTCAGGAGAGCTGTGCATAGCTTAGTTTAGGGCTAGGAAGACAGATGGCCCTTATTCTCCAGTTTGTGCACATAGATCCCTATTCACATATGCCAGAATATTCCTCCCCTTTCAGTACTGAAGGCTTTCTTCAATACATGAGTCTCCCACTTGGAGGCACTAGAATACTGTATTGCTTCTGTGTCCTGCTGGGACACAAATACTTCCACCTGGGTAACTTTGCTCCAATTTACCTAATCCGGCCCAGCAAGCTTTCCCTTTCTGATGTCTTACTTTCACGTCAAGATTGTCCTGGAAGCAGGAAAAAGGCCTTTTTTGCATCCCCATACAGGACTTATTGATGACTCTGTTCTGATCTGTTTCTCTGTACTACCTTAACAGAAAAATTATTGTTTATCACCTCCCAGGCAAGGCTTGAGAAGGAGGTGAGAGAGACCTACTTATTATTGAATTGTGTCTTTATTTTCTTTCAACCACTTTGTCTATGCTCCAGTATTCATAGTCTTCCTGAGAGTTGTAGATTTCAAAATTCAAAATCTAAGAAATTACTTTTTCTGTCTTTCCTACTTCATTCTCTTGGTTTTTTTTTTTTAAATCTATGCTCTCTATTTCTGACAAGCAGGTAGGATTAATAACATGTCTTCTCTCCAAAGAGAAAGAGAAAAACAGGTATCTTGTGAGATTTGCTTCTTTCATACAGCTAATCGGCGGTTATTATAACTTTTTCCTCCTTTATTCCCTTTTCATATTGTTATAGTAGGTAGTCAGACATGAGCAGGGCAGGAGAGGGGATCCCCAACCCCCAACCAGGAATGTCAGGCTACCATCTGGTGAAGGGTAGGTGGTTGTTAAACTGCCTCTCTAAAATAGTAATTAGTCACAGCCGGCACCAGGGAAAGGCCCTCTCCCAGTAGCTGGAAAAAAACCTGAAACTGGTGATCAGTAGCTTCCCAATAAGATCTCAGGAGTTGGGCGAATGGGCCCAAGCATGCGTACTAAGAGGCAAAATGGCAGAGTTTAACTAGTATATGACATTCTTCTAGGAAAGCTAGACTGGTAAGAGAAGAACACCTCGAGTGAGGATGCGCACACCTCCAGTAAACACACTGCACATACAGCCCCTCCCAAGAGCTTACAGGCCACTGAGCATGTGGACAGCCCACCCCAAGGGAAGAATCAGGGGAGAAGGGACGCAGGACCCCAGAAGTATGCCAGTGTATAAAATCCCAAGTCAAAGGCCAAACAGTGCACTTGATCTCTAAAGTCACCTTCTTGGCCCTCTTTCAAGTGTACTTTACTTCCTCTCATTCCTGCTGTAAGACTTTTTAATAAACTTTCACTCTGGCTCTAAAAGTTGGGACTCTAGAGGTAGAGTCTCTCACTCTACGTTATGCCCCTTGGTCGAATTCTTTCTTCTGAGGAGGCAAGAACTGAAGTTGCTGCAGACACTTACAGATACACCACTGGTAACATACTTTGCTGCCATATGACTCCGATACATTCTGCTGCCAACAATATTTTAAGACAGTGAGTAAACACAATAAAATGTTTGAAGGAGGACACAAAGAGAAAAGGAGAATTCTAATAAAAACAGCAAAGAAAAAGGACATAGGTTAATTTTGAATTTTAACTGCCTTACCATATTTGAGAGCTGTTTGCATCCTATATTGGACCAGGGAAAAGGGACATTCAGCTACAATTCTTAAGAGAGAAAATTACAGTAATTGGTCTTTTCTATCAAATTTTAAGTGCATACATCTTGGTTACAGCCACTGGGAGAATGTCATGGAGGTAAACCAGTATGCAGGTGCTAACACATGGATGAAACATGTTACATCAAAAACATTCAACAGGATGTAACTCAGTTGGGTGAACATGTGAGATGATATTCTTGGATTTAGTTCATCCATGTTCTGTATCACATCCCCTTAACTAAGGTGTGTGACCTTGGATAACTCATTTTATCTTCCCTTTCCTCATGTTTTGTACACATAAAATAATGGCTCGGTAAAATGGGGTTTTGTGCAAGTTTACCAATTCTACATTTTGTGAAAACCACCAAGGTTTACTTGCCAATTACTTGTTCAGTTCTACAATATTATGCTATATTGACATGAATATTTTCTTTCTTTCTTTCCCTTTCTTTCTCTTTCTTTCTTTCCTTCTTTCTTTCTCTTTCTTTCTCTCTTTCTTTCTTTCTTTTTCTTTCTTTCTCTTTCTTTCTTTCTTCCTTTGTCTCTCTCTCCCTCCCTCCCCCACCTCTCTCTCTCTTTACTTCCTCCCTCCCTCTCTCTCCCCTTCCCTTCCCTTCCCTTCCCTTCCCTTCCCTTTCCTTCCCTCCCCTTCCCTCCTCTCTCCTCTCCTCCCCTCCTCTTCCCATCCTTCTTTCTTCTGCCCAGGCTGAAGTGCAATGGCATGATCTCAGCTTACTGCAACCTCTGCCTCCAGGGTTCAAGCGATTCTCCTGCCGCAATCTCCCGAGTAGCTAGGATTACAGGTGCCTGCCACCACGCCTGGCTAATTTTTGTATTTTTAGTAGAAACAGGGTTTCAGCCATGTTGGCAAGGCTGGTCTCGAACTCCTGACCTCATGATCTGCCCGCCTCAGCCTCCCAAAGTGCTGGGATTGCAGGGGTGAGTCACCGCACCCAGCTGCCATTGATATTTTCTTAATACTACTGTTTGATTTTGAGTTCACAGAAAACAGAGACATCATCAAGTTTCCATATTACACAGCACATTAAAACACAATGTTATATATGGGAACAGTGGGAAAATGTTGTTTGATGCAAATTTTGGATACTGATTTTTTTAAATTTAAATCTCCAGTGTCAATTCCTCCTTTTATCTCCAGCACTTAAGAACAGTAAATAAGAGGAAATGCCTGACTTACAGGTTTTACAGGATTAATAGGAAAAAATGATAGACAGAAGTGACTGAAATATTCCTTCCTTTGCACAAGACAGACTTACCTCTGCCACTTCTTCAATTACTTCATGAACCTCCTCTTCTATTCATGTTCTCTAAGGAAGATATTGACATGAGATTGGTCAGAGATTTGGCCACAATTATTAATAAGTGGAATTATTCTATCTCAAAAGGGAAAAACCCTAGATTTCTCTCTTATCCCTTAAATTACTTCCTCTTAAAACTATTTTGTAAGCAATTATCTTAGGTCTGGGACCACAGAACACGTTGGACAATTTTCTGGAGTCTAAATGACTTATATAGTTGAGCTCAGGCTTTTTCTAGAGAAAGCCTGTCTCTGTCTCTTCTGCCGCTCCTCTTGTTTCTTATTCTCCTCCATCTATAACTATGCATGTTTCTCTCAATTATTTAGAATGAGGGAAGAAAAAAAAGGTTCTAATGAGATTTTGTTTCTAATCAGGATTTCTATGCTGCCTTTTTAATTGGGATCTGAATTGGAATATCAGACACTTAAACATCTAGGAATAAATTGGAACTCTAATTTTCATTTTGCTCTGATTTGTTGCATGTCTTTCTTTTTATGCAAAAGAACTAAATTTCACAACAGGATTTGAGTGTTCTGAGTCTTGCAGGGATAACATCATGGTAACAGAACAATTCATAAGCCATGACACTGTGAAACAGATTAAGTAGTTTTAAAGTGACACAGATTTAGTTTCTGTTCTTTCTCATGACATTGTGTGTATGCATACACACATACACAAATACGCATGTTATATTTTTACGACCCATTGAGAGATCATCACTATTCTGGTCACAAGTGGTACAGAGATAGAGTAAGCAGCAAAAAAAACCCTGACTTTATTGAGCTTACATTTTACTGGGAGATAAATATCTATTTGAAAGTTATTTTTTGGTAGCAATAAATTCTATGAAGAAAATAAAGCACTTACTACCTTCATTAATTTGAACAAGTTATTTAACCTCTTTGAGCCTCACTTTTCCCATTTGCCAAAAGAAACAACACTTGAAAATGACATTTAGGTTACCTTTTTATAAGATAATGTTGGGATAAAACTAGTCCATAAACATAGAAAGTTATTTGGTAACTACAACATAATGTTCTGTTGGGCAAGAAAAATGCACCTTATTCTTTCGCTCACATAAACATTGTAATGGTCCAGGAATGTCAGATTGCTTGTTTTTAACCATCTGTTCTATTTCACTCAATATGGGGTCCCTTTTTTCTCCTTTTGAATAGGTAGCTTGTCAAAAATCCCAACAAATGTTCACACAGATTTTTAATAATTTTAGCAATTCACTTGGAAAACCTTTGTGTTGGAAGTCCAGACCTTGGCAAGTCTGGAGCAACAGGAAGGGAGAGCTGAAAATAGGCACAGGATGGGCACGTTGGTCACAATGATGCCCCCAGCCCTGGTCATTGGACCATATTTAAACAAGTGGGAAGTTCTGACAGAGTGCTGCAGGACTTTCATATTCAAGAGGCTTTGTGCTTTTTCATCCTCTATCAAGAAAGATGTTTGGAAATTTCAAAGTTGATGATAACTTAAGTAGTGCTTGCATTTCCTAAATGTAAAAATTCTTTTAAAAGCTCTTGCCTATTAACAATTTTGAATTATTCTAAAACAAATTATCTCATAGGTTTCCACAAACATGGCTATAAAAATAACTAGTCTTGGGTTTTTTAAGAGAACACTTGACCTTAGGCATCAAAATGAGGCTCCCCAAGTTTTCTGATAATAATAATGCACTGTGTGCTTGGAAACACCTTTTGAGAAATTTCTTTCTCAGATCATGCAAATCCACAAACGTGGAATTCTCCGGAAGTCCTCTGGTCTTTATTGTTATTATTAATAACAGCCACAAATATTAAAAGCTTCATATGTATCAGCAATAAAACTTACCACTGTGTGCATAAAATTTGTGATCCCCAAGCTGTATCTTCAGAGTAACTTTTCTTAATAAATTTAAGAAATATTGAGTTAAACGAGACATGGATTTATTTTTCTTTCATATAACTAAAAAACAGGTAGGTTGTTCAGACCTGATGTGTTCGGTCCTTAATGTCACTGAGACCAGTCTTTACTATTCTTAGGATGTGACCCTTTTCCTTATGCTGAAATGTGGCTGCTAAAACACTAATGAAGCAAGAGAGGTCTTCTAGTTAAGTTTCCTTTAAAGAGATTTTCGTGGAACTTCTATACTTAATGGCTCACATCTCATTGGCCATACCAATTAGCTAGCAAGACTCGAAATTGAGATTGTTTTGTCTGGGCGCGTTACCACCCATAGCAATATAGATGTTTTTTATATTATTATTCAAAGAAGAAAGGATATTAACAATCTCGGCTATGGCATGTTATCCCCATTTCTCCCATAAAGAAATGTATATATCCTGTATTAATTTAATTATTTTGCTCATTATGAACAGAGCATGTGTTTTCATATGTCTTAAAATTTGGTCATACCATTTATTTGTATATTCCTAGAGTATATATATCCTCATGCTCTCTATTGATAGGTCTTACTCATCCTTTGAGATGTTCCCAAATATACATTCCATTTCTTGTATACAAAATCTGATGGCCTGAATGAGTTAATCACATCTTCAGTTATTGTAAAATCATTTGAAACTATACTGGTGCTTATTCTATGTTTTATAATTACTGGGAAGGCATTTTTTTCCTCTTTACCATAATGAAGACCCTTAAAGTCCAAGTTAGGTCTTATTCATTATTATTATTATTATTATTATTATTATTATTATTATATTATTATATTTCTGCCTAGGCCTAGTACCCTTCACTGATTATTAAATATTTATTTTTATATCATCATTAATATCAAACAAATTTATAAGCCATGTAAAAATCTAGTTTACTAAAAATTAATGTATGAGGCCAAGAAAATAAAAGAATATTATCAATAATTTGATTATAATTCTAATTATAATTTTTTTAGTGGTTTCCAACATCGAATTTACTTCTAAGGAGTAAATATTTGACTGCAGTCAGTATAATTCCTAGGCAGTATGCACAGAAGTTATGCCTTACTTTGCTTTAAAATATTATGTGTTGCACATCTCTTTTATCTGAGAGTTCTGCTAGATTCTAAGAAAACAGTTTATAATTTTATTTTCTTTGCTTAGCTCTCCAGCAACAGGATTGACAACTTTGATGACCAGCTTAGTTGCTTTTTCCAAAATGATTTTATTGGTCTTTGCGGAAATGGTGTGTGAAATTTTGCCTAGTAAAAAATGTTTCACATCAGCCACATTTCCTGTTATTTATTATTGGTACCAGCAAGTGCTAGAAGCTGCTGGACACATTTTCTTCCTTATTTTGTTGCTTTTCTAATCAACATTGGACTTTAAAATCTGGTGCTTGATTTTTTTCCCCCTGCCTGCCTTCATCAAAGCCTAATTTTGACATATTGATTTGACTGATGTCAGATGTACTTTCTGTCCTTTATATGATGTTAGATTTTAAAAGAGACTTAAATCCAGCCAGGTTTTCAGGTAAGACATAGTCACCAACTCCAAGGATGGTACAAGGGAAGATAAATAAATGGTTTTGAGTAACTTAATTTGTGCATTGTATATTAATAATAGTATGAAGAGAGTTTTTAATATTGTTTCCCAAGATTACTTTGTACAACCATCTACTGATGAAAGTTTAAGATGTTTTCAAAGAGAGAACTCTGAAGATAATTACATGTTCTCAAATATTTCCCAAGTATTTACTTACATTATCTTGAAGTCATTCCCCATTGACACAGGGATAGTGACATTTTAGGGAAATTAGCCCTCTCTTTTTCATGGCTGGTTTTGGCTGTGTGTACAATTCAAAGATATTTATGACATAGCACCAATAAATAAATATGTATGAATGTTCATCACTTGCTAGATACATATGAGAATCAATAACAATGAAAACAGCATGGCTTCTAATAGCATCTTGATAATATGCCCAAGACACCTTTGCTAAAACTATTACGCTTCTTAAAAAGTTGCTGTGTTTACATTTTGTTAGTATAGTCAGCAAGACTCTGGTCTCCTTGAAGTATTTAAGCACTTAAGAGTCCCAGTAGTTAATGTAAACAAGAAAACCCAAGCAAGGGAAATTGCATGTAATTCTTGATCGTAATATGTCCTAGGAGAAGATATCTACTGAGGCCTGTCAAACTAGGGTCTATTTACCACCAGTGCTATATGCAATCTTTTGCTTGATCTTCATTTTAGCAACTTGATTCTAAAACTTTGTCTTCTTTTGAATATTTGAATAACTAATTATCCTCAGCCAGACTACTTCATGATCTTGTTCAACTACAAAATTTAAATTCTTAAAAATCCCACAATATCCCTCTTTAATGTCAGTTCTATTTTCAAACTAGTCTATGAGTATTGTTACCTGTTTTTGGTTTTTGTTTTCTCACTCAAAAGTTGCTTTTTCACTGCCTAAACAGCCTGCGATTGATTCCCTGTGCTACTTGTTACAGTCATAAAATTTTGGGATTTGTTCCTGTATGGTAGAAAATAAATGTTTTCTCCAACTATACTCTCAACAACACAAACACCTCTGTGACCAGATGTGTGCGTTTTTCCTATCCTAAGCAATTCTCCAACACCAGTTGAATATCGTATAATTAAATTTAATGTAGACATGATGTATCTGAAGATAGTATTAGATCTCACAGGTTAAGGGCTCAAGACTGCCCCCAACTTGAAATGCCAATCTAAAGTCTACAGATTACCCACAACTTCCATCCAATTTGGTTACAAAGAAAAGGATCATTTGTTAGAGCAGCTCACAGAACTCAGGACACCACTTTGCTTGCTAGATTACCGGTGTATTACAAAGGATATAAGTCAGGAACAGCCACAGGGAAGAGAAGCATAGGGCAAGGTCTGGGAGAAGTGAGGCAGAGCTTCCTCACTCTCTTCAGGAACACAACCGTCCAGGACCAGTGTTCAGCAACCTGGAAGTGCTCCAAAAGCTATTGTCTTGGGTTTTTATAGAGGCTTCATTATGGAGTCCTGAGTGATTCAGTCATTGGCCATGGTGATCAATGTGGCCTCCAGTCTTTTTTTCCTTCCTGGAAGGCAGGTAGATAGAGCTAGCCCTCATCCTAAAGTTATCCAGGAGAATTCAACCACTAGTTATCTCAGCATTTAAAACGACACTTACCACTTCAAAAATTCCCAGGGTTTTAAGAATTAGGGCAGAGACCAAATGTGTATTTCTTACTATATCACAATATCACAATTCCTGAGCCCCTTCCAGTTAAAATTCTTCCCTATGTTCCTAATTTCTCAACTACTTATCTTTTATCTGTAGATTTTTTTCCATCTGCAGAATAAAATTAAAGATGCTGTATTTTTTTATAAGATATTGTGAAGTACATAACACGGTATTATCTGTCAAGTGCTTTGGAGACATGTTGGTCACATGACCAGCTCTCTATTAATATTAGTTTCTATCATTGTGTGTATAAGTGTATATGTGTCTCTGGATATGTGTGTGCAAATGCATTTGCGTGTGCACAAGTAGAAATTTACAAAGAAAAGTTAAATAGCCATACAGATTTGGAGAAAACCCAGATTTTCTTGGATAGCTCCTTAGTTACCTGATTGCATTTCCCCTTTTAATAATTAATCACATTAGCTAAAAGAAAGTGAAAAAGATCTTATTGTACTTTTTAACATAAGCTGATAAATAATATAGTGCAAAATAAGTTATCTGTAATCAAGAAGGGATGGAAAGGTTGCTTTCTTTTGGCCTTTATTTTCTTGGGGAAGGCTGAAGTAGGTTGTGAGGTAAAAATAGGCTTAGTCACATAGAATCTAACATATGTTTCAAAACTCTTTAGGTCTTTCATCCAATTTATTTTTCTCAAGTACTACCTATTTAAAGTTTTAATGAAAAAATTTTTTCTTACCATTTATTCTAATTGAAAAATCATTCTATAACTGTTGATTTATATATGATGGCTTTTTGTAGGGGTATTTTAGTGGAATTTTAAAGGTAAAAATATACTAAATGATAGTAAAAACAATAAATTCTAATTCTAGTTAAGTTACCAACTGGCTCTGTATACCTGGCAAAGACTTGTATGGTCAAATTGGATCAGGTTCTACAGTGTGGCAATGCAACAGTCTTGGGATACCAGATTTTTAAAAATCATACTTAATGATATTTTGTCACTCTCCTTGAAATTCTATGGTCCTTGCCATCTCAGGGTGATACTAACATACCTCTGCTATTTGCCTACATTATCTCCTATGCCTGAAGTTCTCCTTCCTCTCCCTTGTTTCTGGTTACTTTCTATGCTTTCTTCAAATTTTTAGCTCAAGCCACACTTTTTAGGCAGACTTTTCTACTTTTGCTGACTTTCTTAACCATGTAAATCTCTTCTAAAGTGCATATCCAATTGGCTTTTTATATTTTCTTTGTATGTTTTTATCAGTTTTTCTTATCTAGTGGAATATGAGCCATATGAAGTCCAGAACCTTGTCTGTTTTCCTGGCCATTGGATCTTTAGAGTCATACATAGGTATGGGTCAGCAAATAAAATTTGAATAGACAGGTGCTTTCATGAATCTTTTTGTTTCATGGTATTTTTAAAGGAAACAAACCTGTAATTTCAATAAACACTTTTGTTATTATTTTAAAAGATGATAAGAGGGCCAACTATACTTAGATAACAAAGACCAATTACCAGAAAGAGCCATCACACAAACACTCCTGTGGACATGGAGGTGGATACTAGAAGTGTGGTCTAAAAGGTCAGCAAAGATTAAACATTTAACAAGTTGAGAGTAGTGTGTAGAGCCAATTCATACTGACCCCTGAAAGCCAACTGATACATTTTCAGTATTTGTGAACTGACTGTTACACCACTAGTAGCTTGGAATTGATCATTTCAGAAGTACTTACATCACAGACATTGGTAAGTGCTATAAAACAAGCTCTCCTCGTTTCTCTCCCCTAAGGACCAGTTGTTTAACATTCACTAGCATGACACTTCCTGTCACACAAAATAGGAAGCAGTCACCTGGGCAAAGTTTGAAGATTCATGGGATGGAGAGTTAGGGGTTTGGGAGGGATCCAGGGAGATATTGGAGGTAAGCAAATATATAAAATATATTATATATATTTTATATATACACATTTTTTCCCACAAGATACTACCAGACAAAGCAGATTGCTGTTAATTTATTATTTCTTCTCTCTCACTAGTGATGCATTCTGCCTTCCAAAACAAAGATTCATAGTATCCTCTGGGGTTATCATTGTCATCATCATCATCATCATCATCATCATCATCATCACCATCATCATAATTATCATCGTCGTCATCATTACTAAGAAAATAACAAACATATTTCAGGACAGTTATTACCCTTACTCTAGAAATCATTAATCTGAAACAGAGAAATTAAATCACTTATTCAGGGTTAGGAAGCTAGAAGACAGCACAGTTGGAATTGTACCTAAGAGTTGTGCATTCAAATATAATCACACTGTCATGGTAGATAGGCTTGTGTTGGTCCAGTTATCCCACCCTCAACTTTGAGGCTTCACTTCGATAGCCAATTAGTAGTTAGTAGTTCTTTTTCCTTCATATGTGTTGTATATTTCTCAAAGTGATTTGACTGGATTTCTCTCCACCAGGCCATCTGTGCCTGAACTCCATTGTGTTTTACTTTGGCCCATTTGGATTTTTCTGCCCTCCCAAAAGAAGTAATCTCCTTCTTGATATGAATAAGCTAGTATCTTCTGAACATTTTTGTATTACGGAAAAAAAATAAAATAGGAAGGCTAGTAGATATGTACACCAATAAGGACTTCTTAATATCTTAGTTGTTGGAAAACATTTCTTCCCTAGGTGGAAAAGCATTTTTTTAAAAAAGTATGCCTAAATAAAGCCTTAAGCAAATAAAAGTGAAATAATGA
The DNA here is from genome assembly GCF_000001405.40 of Homo sapiens. Taxonomy (NCBI): domain Eukaryota; kingdom Metazoa; phylum Chordata; class Mammalia; order Primates; family Hominidae; genus Homo; species Homo sapiens. The sequence continues at coordinate 62,352,921 of NC_000016.10, read as the reverse complement.
TAGCATCCATCAAGAAACACCCTGAAAACAAGTTTTCATTATTTCCCCTGTCACTCCTCATGCCAGAGGTTTCTTAAAATTTGGATTACAGTCCTAAGGAAACATGACAAATGCCATCATCACAAATCAAATAAGTGGAAAGATCAATTCATTTACTGCAGAAAATTGTAAAAACAAGTAATCTTAATAGCATTTTTTCTGCAACCCAGTATCAGCATATTGTGAGCTGAAATGAAAATGGATGACAGAATCTCCAAAATTAAAAATGGATCTGTGTACATATTTCCCAAGACAGTCTCCTGTCGTGGAGTATCTAATCATTCTTCACCCATCTTTTATTGCTATTGACATAAGAGAATATTATCTCAAAGCAACTAATCAATAATATTATAATCTCCTAAAATTTTATCTCTGACTATTGGCATTTGAAAACACATCTTTGGTCACCAGGTTTCATAATTGCTTTTTTTTTCTTTTTCAGTTTATTCAGTCCTTAGAAGATTTATGATGCATTTCAGAAAAAGATTCCATAAATGTAATAGTTGCCTGAAAACCAGTGACATTTCATGTTAATATAGAAAATTGGCAATAAAATGGAAACATCTTAGTATCTATTTTATACATCTCAATGTTTACTTGAATTCAGGTAATCAAAAACATCAGTAATGTTTGTTTTAACATATGTATTCCAGGCCTGTAAATATGTTTGCCAGCACACCAGTATGTGTCTAGAAGTTTGTGGAGCAGTTTTAAACTTATCCCATTCATCCCATAGATACACATTTATATCAACTATGACAAGGAAAGTATCATCTGAAAACCGTTTAGAGATGGACATAGGATAATTACTGATATCAATGCCATATTTTATGCAAAGAATGTAAATGTCCATACCTATATCTTTTCAGAAATACCTTTCCAAAGCCCATATATCCAAAGCCCATATATCCAAAGCCATATATCACCTTTAATCACCATATATACATATACATATACATATATACGTATCACCATATATACATATACATATATATGTATATGTATATATGTATATATGTGTGTATATATATATATATGAGAGAGAGAAAGAGAGGAGAAAAGAGCAAGAGTCTTATTAACATAATACCATTAACAAGCATGTACTGAATAATTCTTATATGTCAGTAACAGTGCCCATCACTTTCCAAGAAGTAGCTCCTTTGATACTCTTCAGAAACTTTGAAGTGAAAATTTTTTCAAATTAAGAAATAGAGTTACTTCAGCCTTTCAGAGGTGCATTTTCATTCTGAAAAGGCAATTAGATGACATGCATTAAAGACCAGTCATAATTCCTGTAAGCTACCGGATGATCCAAATATTACTCTGCCATTTTTATTTATAAAATAGATATCTTGAAAGTTGTTCTGACAGTTTAATGAAATTTTGAATTGTAACTCATAGGAAAAATTTTCTTCCCTGTTTGTTTATGACTAAAACTAGGTTAACCTATCACAAAATATGTTTAATTATCTTTTAGTTTGCATAAATGTGTTTGTATCTACTTATTCTTCTCATTGAGCTCCATTATAAAACCAGAGCTGTATTTTCATGCCTGTCATGGGTGTTTAGAGGGAAGAGAGGGTGTTAAGACATTCTCTATAAGTTGAAAACCTCTAGAAAAAGATACAAAAATATTATTTATTAGTTATCAGAATCATATTAGCTCAGTTTTGAGAAGTGGCATAACCAAAGATTTCAAAATTTATTTTGGTCGGTGGCAAATTTCCTAAACCATGTAAACAAACAAACAAACAAACAAACAAACAAACACCTTAAGCCAACTGCAGGTTTAATCCTCATGCAATGACTGAACATAGAAATAAAAACAGTGTTTAAAGTATTGACAACTAGATGATTCTAACAGTGTGTGTTTAATGTGCTGGAGAGTGACCAAGAGGGTGAAAGAAATAGATTGGGCTTGGTGGTGTGCATCTGTTGTCCCAGTTATGCAAGAAGCTGAAGCAGAAGGATAGCTGGAACCAAGAATTTTGAGGCCGCAGTGAGCCATGATGGCACCATTGCACTGTAGCCAGGGTGACAGAGTGAGACTCCTATCTCTGTAAAAAAAGAAAAGAAAATACTAATGATACAAGATGTATACGATACATATAATACATGTGTATACACACACATTGCACTTCCACATAGATGATATATCATCTTCAATGACACTTAAACTTTTATTATTTTATTGTTTTATTTGCTAAAATTCTAAAAATAATATATTCATTATATAATATATTATTTGCTTTCATTTTGCATTATTGACCAGCTTTTATATTTGAGCAAGAAACATCTGGGAGCAAATCTCAGATTGCCTTTCTGTGACTAATGTTGTAAACTACTTGATTTGTGAAATATTCTTTCTCTCAAAATGTCTCTTAGTTATATATTATTTGCTTTTGATTTGATATTATCATTGTTTTAAATAAATGCAACAGAAAAGATCCTCAACAAAATGAAATATTGGTCTATTTATAGTGAATTATACAATTTTTAGTGAGACATTTGTCTCTTAGTAGCAGCAGTCGTCATTTGAATATATTGTATATTGATTTGTTTTGTTGTAAATTTACCAGCCCTCATTATGCATCCTGCGGGTCAGTCTCCCATATCACACCCAGACAAAGCTTAATCTCTGATAACTGATATGGTTTGTATATTTGTCCCTGCCCAAATCTCTTGTTGAACTGTAATCCCCAGTGTTGGAAGTGGGGCCTGGTGGGAGGTGACTGGGTCATGGGGGCAGATATCTCATGGATGGTTTAGCACCATCCACTTGGTGCTGTTCTCATGATAGTGGGTGCGTTCTCACGAGATCTGATTATTTAAAAGTGTGTGGCCTCTCTCGTCAATTAGAGTTAGACTCTAGGATTGGTAGCTAAACAGGAAGGAGTTGGAAGAGATTAAGTTTCTTTGATTTTATGACGAAGGGGCTTCTAGGATGACAAACCAAAGTTGTAAGCATTGCCCTTCAAAGTGCAATTTGTTTATTTTTATTTATTTATTTTTTTGAGATGGAGTTTCTCTCTTGTTGCCTAGGTTGGAGTGCAATGCCACGATCTCGGCTTACTGCAACCTCCGCCTCCCAGATTCAAGCAATTCTCCTGTCTCAGCCTCCTGAGTAGCTGGGATTACAGGCATGCACCACCACACCCAGCTAATTTTGTAATTTTAGTAGAGATGAGGTTTCTCCAAGTTGAGGCTGGTCTCGAACTCCTGACCTCAGGTGATCCGCCTGCCTTGGCCTCCCAAAGTGCTGGGATTACAGGTGTGAGCCACCACGCCCGGCCTCAGAGTGCAATTTGTTCATTACTCATCTGCCAAAATAGAAAAACAAGTTTTTTATCTTAATATTTTTCATCTTATTTGGTGATCTGGAAACTTTTGGAGAAATCAGGGGAAAAGTAATTGATGCAATCGTATAGTTCAAATGCTTAACAGGATTTAGGATAGTTTAAATTGGTTCTCCTCAAAGTGTGATCCTCAGACGAGCAGCTGAGGTCATTGTTTGGAAACTTGTCAGGAATGAAAAACATCAAGCCCCACTCCAGGCCTACTGAATCAAAATATTTGGAGTTAGGGCCCAGAAATCTTTATTTTAACAAAATTTCAGGTGAATTCTTTCTTTAGCTAGTAGCATCAGCCTTACCTGATGCTGAAAATTAAATTTTTTAGAAATGCCAATTTCCGAGCCGGGCGCGGTGGCTCATGCCTGTAATCCCAGCACTTTGGGAGGCCGAGGCGGGCGGATCACTAGGTCAGGAAAACGAGACCATCCTGGCTAACACGGTGAAACCCCGTCTCTACTAAACAAAATACAAAAAATTAGCCGGGCGTGGTGGCAGGCTCCTGTAGTCCCAGCTACTCGGGAGGCTGAGGCAGGAGAATGGCGTGAACCCGGGAGGCGGAGCTTGCAGTGAGCCGAGATCGCGCCACTGCACTCCAGCCTGGGCGACAGAGTGGGACTCCGTCTCAAAAAAAAAAAAAAAAAAAAGAAATGCCAATTTCCCAGCCCCACCCAAGACAGGATACATCGGAAAGTCTGAGGTGAGACTAGCAAGCTATATTTTAACAAGCCTTCCAGGTAACTCAAGTAAAGTTTGAGAACCACCGGTATAGAGGAATATTTTACTTTCTTTAGTGTATAGCAAAATCACCAGAGAAAATTGCAAATATCTGGGTCGTTTTCCCAGAGATTCTGAGTTACTACTTTCAGGGCCATGGCCAGAGATTCTGGATTTTAATTAGCATTCAGGCGATTCCAATATAGGTTGTTCTTGAACCAATTTGAGACATGCAGACATGTGCTCTAGATCTAATAGCCTGCTTTATCAGCCTTAAAGAACAGACTACACTTCTCTAGGAAGAGAAAAAGTTTGCTTGCTTAGGTAATGTTTAGTTTTTTGGAGTTTTCAGGTGTCTGAATTAGATTAATTATCCCACATTCTTCTCATTTTCCCAGATTCAATACTTGCAGCCCAGAAGAGATAACCCCCTGCTGATGCATTAGTATTCTGGATGCTGGGAATAATGCTATAGATATAGTTTTTAACCTCATTCGTGACACCAGGAATACAATAATAGCATTATGAGTATACTAGTTTCAGTGCCTCTGGGAAAAAATACAATTTCTGCCTCATTAAGTTTTATTGATAAAACACAGATGTAGTTATATTATTCATATGACTTTTTGAATTTGTTTTTTGTCTTTTCCAACTTTTTTTAACGTAATCTTTATGTTCCTATGGGATAAGTAATCATTTGAGATACATTTAAATGAACAAAGATTGAATTTGTAAAATTTATTTTCAGCATGTGATGGAAAAATATAAAATAACAACAACAATAAAAAATACTCTGTGGTTCCTTCTGACAGTTACTTGAAGAAGACTCATTTACCTTTTTCCACCGTGGTAGAAGGCGAGTCACACATAGCATATTATCCCATGCTACCCGTATAGGCAAGGCCTTAAAATTCAGTCCCTGCAAAGATATCTTCAATAGCATCCTTAGGAGCTCTAATCATACTGATAGAACAGGAGTGCCTGTCAATAAAAAAAAAATAAAGAATTTTGAACCACTAAAAGTCAAATAAAAAAATATAGACACAAGCTGATTTTTTGCACGTTGGAAATATAACTCCAATGCAAATATAGTGTACCTTTTCTTAATGGAGCAATTCTATATTGAAACTAAGTTTTCTTCAAGAGGATCTACTTTTAAGTACAAACATGAAAGACAAATCTGAGTGCTGATATACATGATATGAATTAACTGCATCTTCACTAACTACATGATTTTTAAGTTCAGGGATGCATTTCTGTGCCTTGGCTCTCAAACTTCTCTTTGATCATTGTTATTGAGAAAGAAAACTACATGTGAGAAAGGCTATAGCTGAGTGGTTAGACTAGATTAAATTAATTCATTTGTAAATAGTAATTGAACACCAATTTGTGGCAGGTATGTTTCTTGTTCATGGCAACACAACGTTGCATGATTTCTGTCCACAGTGAGTTCATAGCTGGACTTGATTATTGTACTCTAAGATCTTTAACTCCTTTATTTTCCAATCCAATATAATTATCTGGCAGTAATTTATGTACACTTTGCATATCCATACAATCTTTATGAGGCCAATTTTTTTTGACAGCATCTAAATTCACTTTTCCAAGGAAATCATTAGTCATGGCTCCTTGAAACTGGTGGAGCCTTTAGAAATGATCTATTTAATATCCACCACTTCACATAAGTAATCATTTACAGAATTCCAGAGAAATTCTCATTCACCCAAATAGCAGACCATTTTCCAAAATAGGACAAATCAAGTATATTTATTTCTAATTCAATAGATTTTCTACTTTATAGAACATTATTTAAATAAAACCTTTATGGATACTTTTTCTCAAATCACATTGCCATGAGTCATGAGAAACCATATATTTCTCGTTGCTAGGTATTTACTAAATTTACTTTTTATTAGTTACCTATACAATTAATGTTTGCAAAAAATTATATCAATATCAACTAAATTCAAATATTTCAGAGTCAAATGTCCACATATGTGAGGCTCTGAGCTTGTATTCTCTAAAAATTTTATGCATCTACTTCTCTATTTTTATTATTTTTTATTTTTTGAGACAGAGTCTCACTCTGTCACCCAGGCGGCAGTGCAGTGGTGCAATCTCAACTCACTGCAACCTCTGCCTCCCAGGGTCAAGCAATTCTGTCTCAGCCTCCCGAGTATCTAGGATTACAGGTGCATGCCACCACGCATAGCTAATATTTTGTATTTGTAGCAGAGATGGGGTTTTGCCATGTTGGCCAGGCTGGTCTTGAACTCCTGGCTTCAAGTGATCTGCCCACCTTGGCCTTCCAAAATGCTGGGATTACAGGCATGAGCCATCATGCCTGGCCTACTTCTCTATTTTTGTACCTATGTTATAGTGACCCAATTATTGTGTTATCATAAATATTCTAAATACCATCATGCCTTTTTATTTAGTAGATCTTAATATTCAGTAGTTTAAGTTCTCCTAATTTGCTTTATTCTTGGCCTTTGCATTTCTTTGTACATTGTAGAACCACTGATCCAAAAAATCTGTTTAGATTTGATTGAGATTTGATGGTAATTGCAATTTTGAGACTACTGGATTTTAGGAAAGACATGTTGTGTGTCTTTATTTTTAAAAAATTCTTTATTTTTAAGTATATAGTTTAATGACATTAATTGCACTTACATTATTGTGCAACTATTACTGCTATCCACACATTTATTTAGTTTTTAAAAAAGTTTTCTCAATACTGTTTTATTTGTTGCTACTTAGATATCTTGCTTGCTTTTGTTAGATATATTCTGAGGTAGTTAATATTTTGAATGCTATAGTAAATTCTGTTTTTAAAATTTATTTTCCAATTGTTTGTTTTTGGTTGACCTTGTATCTATCAACCTTGTTGAACTGACTTCTGATCATTCCACTATGGGTTCTTTTGAATGTTTTTATGTACGTAATCACGTTCTTACCTGAAAAAAATAAGAGCTTTATTATATTAACTCTATTTTAAAATGTCTTTAATTTTACTAACATTTAAGTAGATACAAATGAAAAAAGAAAGGACAATACCAAGTATTGACAAGAAAGTATAGAACTGGAATACTCATAAAATAGTAGTTATAATTTAAATGGGGATATTACTATTGGAAAGCTGGCAATTGGTAATAAAGTTGGACATAAGTATATATCCACATAACCAAGCAAGAAGTGTACTTCTAGCAAATTTCCAACAAAAATGTGCATATATAATCCCTAAAGTAAACATTTAAAAATTTTATATATAAGAAAAAGGCACACATAAGCAATATTCATTAAAGCTCAAAACTGGCAATATATAAACAGTAGGATAGATAAATTAATAAAGGTATATTTAAACAATCTAATGAGAATAATTGAACTTCAACTGTACACAACAATAATGCATTTCTTAGTCTTAATGATGTTAAGCAAAATAAGCCACACACACAGGAACATACACAAAAATGTGTTGTGTAGTTTCATTTATATATATATATATATTTAAAAAACAGGAAGAAATAATCTGTGTGTTTTAGTTGCAATAGTCTTGGGATACTAATGACAGTGATGGACATTTGGGTGGGAGAGTGGATTCTGCAGTTCTGGCAATGTGCCTTTTTAAATTCAGTTGCTTGCATGAATGTATTTATCTTGCAAAATTATTGTGAGGGATACATTTTGTGCCTCTTTCTGTATACTTGATATATTTTCGTGATATATTAGGGGAAAAGAGAGACGATGGGTACTGAATAATTTGATCTGTGTTTTATTTATATTGGGAACAAATAAACCCAACTTCATAAAGTAAACTTGGCTGTGCTAGTAAGAACTAGTAGCATAGTCTAAATTGCAAGAACCAATATTTTACAGCTTTTAGAAGAGTTTACACAGGAAACGAGGCACGGGAGATGCCCATTTTCCAAGTCACAGGATCCAAGGGGTTTGCTGCCGGACATTACGCCAGTAAGGTAGATGGAAGTTTCTGGAATTTCTTCAAACAACGTGATAAGGGTCATCAAAAGAAGTAAAAGACTTGCAAAGCACAAAAACTCAGATTAACTCTTTTGTAATGAGAAAAAAACCATTTTTTCTTCTGAGCTTCACTGCTGGCTGCTGAAACACTTTCCGAGAGACCTCTGAAATCTGGATTCACGAAGGAACCAAGGGAGTGCATGAGTCCTGCTGTGATGAGCTTTACTTCCTTCTCAATCATTTGTTCATCTGTATGGAGTAGACTTTGGGGTGTGACTGAGTTGACTGAGCTGTTACATTACCACATGTACCAAATCAGATCCCTCAATGCTGCTTGATGTACCTTCCTTTGTGATCCTGGCCACCTCCCTTTTTATGGAAACATAACTGTAAATATACTAAAGCTTCAGTCTGTGGGTTTTTTTTTTTTCCTTTATTTTGTGTCTTTCTCTTGCCGCTAAATCTGTCTTATGTACAGAATTTCTGCCGTTTTTTTTTCCCACACTAATTTAATTCCTTTCCCCCACTATTTGACTATGATGCCTTTCTTCCCTCTAGAGCAAGTGGTTCTTCTGAAATGTAACAGATTCCTTTAAATAAAACATCAAGTATTTGTTTATAATTTGTTTTAAAAAAAAGAAGACCAACAATATACTACTCTAAAGTGAGAAAGCTGGGGAGGTAAACACACATTTAAAATAAATATTTGGTTTCAAATAATGTTATATCAGAGTGATGATCTGGAATTAAACTCCTAACAAAGCAAGAAACATTAAACAAGAATTTTTAGAACGAATGCCTCTTTCACCTAGCACTTTGAGACAGTCTGTTGCCCAGGCTGGAGTGTGGTGGTGTGCTCTTGGCTCACTGCAACCTCTGCCTCCCAGGTTCAAGCGATTCTCCTGCCTTAGCCACCCGAATAGCTGGGATTACAGGCGCCCGCCACCATGTCCGGCTAATTTTTGTATTTTTAGCAGAGATGGAGTTCCGCCATGTTGGCCAGACTGGTTTCTAACTCCTGACCTCAAGCGGTCCTCCTGGCTCGGCCTCCCAAAGTGCAGAGGTTATGAGGGTGAGCCACCGTGCCTGGATCACCCAACACAAATTTATATGCCTGCTGAAACATCATTATCTCTTCTCTCTCTTCTGTCTTTCCTCTTTGGGGCATAATTTACAGGAACTCTCGTGATTAAGAGTTGACATATTTGTTTGGGCATAGAGCAGGGAAGGTTATTAGCTATCATCTTTTCTACACTCTTATTAAAATGTTGTGGAAAATAATGTCAAAATTGGTAAAGTGACTTGATCTAAGTCAGGCAGCTCAAAGCAGCAATACCAAAACCAGATTTTACTTTCCTGGACGTCAGCAATCCTCACATAACATCGAACTATCTTCCATCTCCCAAGGAGAAAAAAAATGATCTAAAGCAGTGTCTGGCACTTAAAAAGCATTAACAATTATTATTATTATCATCATCATCATTGCCATTATTTTTCCTGTAAAAAGTCTATTGTAAATGTTTTACTTATCTCATAGACCATTTAAATACCTACGAGGTAGTCATTTTGATTCCTATTTTACAGATGAGGAAGCAGAGTCAAAGGCAGGTCATAGAACTTAAGCAAATTAATAAATTCATTCAGTTAGCAAGCAGCCAAGTTGGAAATTGAACCCAAGCAGGATGGAATGTTAAGTAAAATAAATTTCAGTTGTTACGTATAATATAATCTTAAGGATATAAAGCTGCATAGAGCAAAGTCACTGAAAATAAATAACTTCAAAATATTAATAATTGAATTTGTATTGTGGGGCTATGAGGGTATATGTTTGAATTACTCCTAGTATTCTCTGTATTGCCAATTGTATTTAATAAGCTTGTGTTAATTCTATTATAATAAAAAAACATATTTATTTTTAGTGATGTATATGCAAAATGAAAATCTCATCTGCATTACAACCTAGGAAAGGAGTCCTAGTTATAGCTATCCCGGGGCTGTTTACTGCAGAAAACATGTTAAAATATGGGCCTGCCACGTGCATGTTATTGAAGAGAAACCTTGTCAGTTTTCAGGGGGAAAAAGGAATTGTGTGGCAAGAAGAAAAAAGGAAAAACATGTCATATTGATCATTAGGGAAAAAGAGGGGAGTAAAGAAACAGGTAACAGTGTTTTATAAAACTTAGAATCAAATACCTACTCTCTATACCAAACGGTGTGCTTCATCCCCAAATAAATTATAGACCTTGAATACCCCCGGCTAGAAATATCCATGATAATTCAGCACTCAAACTTTCAAAAGAGAACTAAATCAAAAACTTAAATTGAGTAAAATCTGCTAAGGACATCTGGTTCCTAAAAGCTGGGATTTTATAATCAGAATATTCATGGGCAATGTCAGAGTCCAATGCAGGTGCTTCTGCCAAGGAGGATGCCACTGTGTACAGGAAGTGTACAGGGATCTGCATACACACAGACACACTTTTAGACATTTCATTTGCATGCCTGCTTTTTTTAGTATTCAGAATTAGAGTCTGCTTTATCAGATTTGAGTCCTTGTTCTAAGTGTAAATCTCCTGGGGTCAGTTTCCCTTTTTCTTTGCCTACGAGGCTTATTTCATTCATTGACCATTAACTCAAAAAATACGTATTGTGTTATTTGCTGCGTATGAAGCAGAGAAAAAGAAAAAAGATGTTAAGCATGAGAAACACTGCACAGCAGACAAATAATGACAAGTACTTATAGCCAGGGTGGTCTTCTGATGGAAAACAGCAGAGAGAACAATGAGAACATAGAGCAGACCACATAACCTGGCCTTTGCACAGGTGTAGGAATATTATCCAGGAGGGTGTCCAGGCAGTTGCCTTGGGAGAAGTCATCTGAATTGAGTGTTGGAGAGCTAAAAGTTGGCAGCTGAGAGGGGGCAGGGGCGACGGTGCAAGGCTTACCAGACAGAAGGAGCAGCATGTCTCTTTTTAAACAATAGAGTCCCAAAGTGAAAGGGACAGGATTCCTGATGTTTGCTAAAGTGTTATAACCCATTGGAACACGCTATTTTCCATCCTGGGGAAAAGAAAGCATCGGGGCAAGATTTACAATTGGAGCTGTCAGTTTATCAGGCTGGAGCAGGTGTCAGGAGCAGCAAGAAATCAAGTCCAGAAGGAATAAAATCAGAAATAGAGAGATGAGTAAAAGTGGAAAGTAATGGCCATGGCAAAAGGCCACTTGAGATTGAACAACAAAACTCCAGCATGAAAATGAAATCCAGACCTTGCATTGGAGGAAGGGTTGTAAAAAACTCACTAGCAATTAAAGAGCTCTGCAGGTTAGGCACTGCTTCAGTATTGATATAAAAATAGCAATTGCTTTCCACAAACAGCAATCTCTGGTACTGTTATGTGTAAAATCTACACATCCTAGTAAATAATCTTTATTATAGTAATAAAAACATGTATGGTTTATCTTATACATAATCATGGCAAGACCAAGGGATCAAAATCTTTCTGCAAATCTAGTTGGGGAAAATAGTAATGGGATATGTATCTAAGTCATAGTCCATCTAGAGTTGGTTTGAGCTTCTTCCATCACTTGAACTTTCATCAGTCTGTAATTCGGAAGCTCCTCTCTATTTTTAGCACTCTATATTCTCTAAAAGGCCTTTATGAAAAAAATTAATATGTTCACCGCCATATTTTAATATGAAATATGTAGCATATCAGAGGGTTAACTAACTGATTAGTGAAATAGTTGAAAATGTTTTTCTTATTAAAAAAGTAACACATGCCCATTGTACAAAATACAAAATGCATATACAAATTAATATCAACTATAATCCCTTTTTTTTTTTCTGAGATGGAGCCTCGCTCTGTCACCCAGGCTGGAGTGCAGCGGCTCGATCTCGGCTCTGCAACCTCTGCCTCCTGGGTTCATGCTATTCTCCTGCCTCAGCCTCCAGAGTAGCTAGCTGTGACTACAGGCATACCACACCCGGTAATTTTTTTTTTTTTTTTTGTATTTTTGGTAGAGATGGGGTTTCACCATGTTGGCCAGGCTGGTCTCAAATTCCTGACCTCAGGTGATATGCCTACCTTGGCTTCCCAGAGTGCTGGGATTACAGGCATGAACCACCATGCCCAGCCAATCATAATCCTTTGAACTAACCAATTATGATCACTGTCAACATTATAGAATGTGTCCATATAATATTTTTTCTATACAATCAAAATGGCATATGCAGTATAACTGAACTACATAATATTTTTGTTACTTTTTTTTACTTATATAAACACTTCTCCAAGTCATAAAAATAATAATTACAAATATAAATATAAATGCTTGCACAATGATTAATTTGTGATCTCACTGTAAATTACCTAATGATTCTCCAAATACAATGTATATATTGTAGTGGAAGAAAGGATACGACCAAATGCATTTATGAAGGAAATTTTCAAATTTAAATCTGTGTATGGTTCTCTGATATTCATCTTAGAATAATTCTTAGATATAAAATTATTGCGTTAAAGGATATCAATATTTTAAAGTGGAAAATAATCAGAATTTGCCCAAACCACATGACCTGCTGACTTTATTATCATACAAGCCAGAGGGAAATTTTTTCCAAAACCTTGAAAGATAAAAGGAATGGACCAAATAAACTTAACTGAATTAATTACTTATATTTGGAATAAGATCTGAGGAATTAATAAGTTCCAATATTTTTTATCTTAAAATTTAGAGGAGACATGAAGCATTTGAAACATCTTGAATATTTGTTAAGGTGTATTTCTGAGTTACTTTTAAAATTTTTAATTCTTAAAATGGAGCTACAATTTAATGGGGTTCACCTTTCTGTATCCACTGAATTTTAGTTCTTGTGAACTTTTCCAAGAACGGATGGACCTATCAGTGGTCAAGCTGTTTGATGTGCAGAGCTTTACAGACTTAATGGAAGACCTGTTTTAAGTATTTGTGATCTTCTCTGTGACTTCTATGCAAGTATTCATGTCATTAGTGCCAAATATTTTAGAGCCATACACATTGGTCAGTGAATTTATTTTATAAGTTATAGGCTTTAGCATGTAAGACCGTTAAACAGTTAAAGCAAATGTATTAATTTAATAAATTTATTTTATTGGCTTTAAAATTAAAGGTAAGAGAAAGCACCAATTAATTGAGTTCCAAATACTGTACTTCAGATTTTACATGCAGTTTTATTTAGTCTCCTCAACAATAAGACTTTTTTTTCTTATTTTCTTCATTTATAAATGAATAAACTGAGGTTTAATGTGTTGTTATTGGCAAAAGATTTGTGAATAAAATGTTTATGTTCAGTCAAACAGGCATTCATGAAATAGCCACAATGTATTAATACCAGGCATTATGTTAAATGCTGTAGGTAAATAATGAGTCTGTACAAGGCTCAAAATCTTCTTCTGGAGACAGAAATACAAAGACTTATTTTCAAGTGCAGACACAAATGGCTCCACAGGAAGCCAAGAAATGCTTTCTGTGGACTATGATGGAAGATTTAAATATTTATACCTTAGTAGAATTTAACCAGATGAAAGCCTCTGCATATATGATTCACCACATGACTCGGAGGAAGTTGTTCACTCTTTTCAAAAATTTATTCAGCAATTTCTAATTGACAAATAAAGATTGTATATATTCAAGGTGTAGAACATGATGATTTGGTGTATGTATACAGTAGAGGGTATAATCGAGCGTATATTTAGAACCCAATCTGTGTTCAGCATTGTATAGATACTTCACATGCCATAGTATGTTTATATCTGACAAAGTCCCTTGATGGTAGAAACCATTTGCCCATTTTACAGATGCAGAAATGGTGCCTTGAGGAAGATCAATAATTGATGCTTCACTTAGCTCTGTCTTGAATTCAAAATAGATCTATTGAATTCTGAAGCCCAGGCACTTAACATTGCAGGAAACTGCCTGAACCACATAAAATATATAACAATTGAATTGTTACTAGAAATATTAGCAGGCTACTCAAAGATTCTGTGTGTGACACAAGCTAAAAGCTATTCAGCATCTGGTCACGACAATGGCTGATCTATTGCTTGTGCCTATTGAATAGTCACTGTGAGAATGAAAATCAGAAGTGTTTCTGGCAGGAAGTGTGGTGAGTGGGGTTGGGGACTATGGGTGTTGAAGAATGGGGCATCAGGAATATGCTAGGGGAAGATTCCTTACAAGACTGTCACTTCATAAGTAGAATGTGTAGGGTTTCACTGGTGAAATTGATCGGTGTTTTAGAACTACCAATCGGAATCTGTAGGGGACACACTCATCATTATCTTTGAACTTATTTAAACTTTCATTTTATCAAGACAGTAATGTTCCCAGGTTAAAATTCCTTCTCTCTTTAATTTACTGGGAGCCCCTTTTTTTTCCCTCACTTTCTACACTGAAAATGAGCAGGGTTCCTGATGGGATGTCAGGCAACCAGGAAGTACTGGAAAGAAAGATACACACTAAGGATGTAAAGAAAATAGAAGGAACATAGCTCTTGTTGACATCATTGCAGCACCATATCAGCTCTAGACTTTTCACTCTAGGATTTTTTGTCACACGCAATAAATAAATTCCTTATTTAAGGGATTGTAGTAGAGTTTTGTGTTTACTTGCTGCCAAATGGAATCCTAACTGAGGCAGACTCAAATCAATGAAGGCCAACACGTTAGAGATAAGCAGATGTTCAACTTGTCCAGACAAAATAAGAGTCAAGATTGATGGCAAGAGGAGTAAATGGGCTAAGCTAGGTATTGTGTAAATTATGAATGCTCTTCCAAAGTCTGTTTCAATAATGGACTTGGTAGGAGCTTGGGATACCACATCAGAACAGAGGCAAGCATGAGAATCATAATTCAGGGAGACAACTATCAGTTTTGTGCTGAGAAATAGTTGAAGAGACAAAACAAAGCTGAAGGAACAGGCCAATACAATAGGTTAGTAATACAGCAACTTCAGGATACAGGCAGCAGTAACAGCCTCAAAACTCAGGTAGAAGGACTTTCTGCTCCAAGCTTCTGCAGCCACTGAAATGAATAAGAACTTCAAACTCCAAACTCTCTCTCTCTCTCTTTTTTTTTTCCCTCAAGATTCAACGTCCTAAAAAACTTTATTCAAAGTGCTGATCATGGACATATGCCCCCACCCCTGGATGCCCATATACCATTTCAGTGAGAGCGTGACATCTTGAGATTTTTAAGTGGAACATTGAAAACACCTCCCACCAAAATTAGATCCAATATAGTGGTTCCCCAAAGGGAAACTGGGGTAGTATTAGAAAAAGAAAATTAGATTGTGAAAGGACAATGAAACAACAAATATCCACGCAATCCCCTGGCCCTACCTGTGCAGGTTTGACCCTTTAATTGTTAATAAAGCCCTATTGTTTTAGATGAAAAAGTCTGAATTCTTGTCCCAGTTCCTGCGATGATATTGTGAGGGCCATAGGTCTGTTAGAGGGGATGAAAAAGAAAGAATTAGTATTCTAGACTTATGGCTGAAGAATTTGGCTCCCAGACTTAAATTCTGTTACAAATAATCCCCATGCATCCATGCATGCTGACAGATATGGCATAACACTTTAATCGCCATTGGCTATGGGCCTAATAAAATCAAATTCTGCTGGGCTCCATTTTTACAGGCAGTATCAAGCCCTGTGAACTTTAATGCCCCATGTCTATTTAGATAGTCATGGCTCAGAGCTGGTATTAAAAGTAGCTAGAAATACTTGTTCTGAAGTGTTGAAATATATTGCAAATTACACTGGAGTATGGGCTTAGTCCAAACTAATCCTATATTGCACTGACCTTTGCAAAATCAGTTCTGTTTTTCTTGGCAGCTTCATTTCCACTCTTTCTCTTTGTCTTATTCCCCTGAAGTTCCATCTTTATTTTGTTTTGATGTCAGGAATCAGTATGAAAGAGCTGCTAGGTTTTAGGTATGTTTGTATAGATGTGTGTGATAGGTTTTGCTTCTGGGTGACCAAAAACAAACCTATTTCTCATCCCATTTCCTTTGCAGCCTCATTTTCAGTCTGGCACTCTGTATTCCTCAGACACTATCAAATACTTTTCCTTTATAAAACAATGAATGATTATTCTGAGCTGTGCTTTTTTTCTAGGGCTGAAAAGAGAGCTTGAGGTTTTCTTGTTTCTCTACATCTTGAAAAGAAAATACTATATCCTAGACCCCCAAACTTTTGTGTGAAGTAACATATTAAAAAACAGAAAAATTAATCATAGCAGGTGGATAAAAGCTATATCTGATGCATGTTCACAGGGTGTTGTTTCCAAATTCTTCAGTGGGAAGGGTGATTTCTGAGTGAAATGATAATGTGGAACAAACGCATCATCTGAAAGACGATAGAGAATTGCTGAAGAAAATTGCATTCATTTAAACAGGGAAGTGGCTTTTGACCTTTAAGATTTAGTCAAAAGCTTGAATAACCTCACTTCTGTGTCTTTGTGTGCAGAAAACACACTAATCTCAGTTACACTTTAATAAAATTTTATCAAATATTTTGTGTAGAGTTTTACTGGAGCTTCTCTCAGACTGCAGACACCCAGCTATGGCCTGTGGTATGGTCAAATACCAACTTGGCTTCAGATTTTTATGTGCAAGTTCAAAAGAGAGTGTATTTTCCCAGCCACTATAGAATTCTATGTTCATTCAATCTCAGAATAAACACAATATTAATGGATGATAATCCATTAATAAATAAAGTACAGCATTCAGCCAAGTCCCAGTTTGCTAGAGGGTCTTCCTCTAATTTTGATTTCCAGATACACTTTTCTCTCTATGATCGTGGTTCTTATGCTTTCATGTGGTTAACAATTATCCCAGGAACTTGAAAAATTTAAATTTCTGGAAGATATTTCATATCTTCTGAAGCAGAGTATTTTGTGATGACAATGGGAATCTGTATTTTTACAGAGCACTCAGATCGATTCTGGAGCAGATTGACCTTGAACTATACTTTGAAAAACACTAATTGGAAAGCAATACTATTTTCTGGTTTCCAATTTGTATGTTTTCATCTTTTTAAAATTTTAGCCATCAAATACAACAGCTAATTTTGTGTCAAAGGGTTTTGATGGAGAAGAGGATTTTATTGGTGGCTGTCACAATAAAAATGGCCTTGGACCCTCAAGTTAATTCTACTGATTGACATCCTGGGTAGCTGGGTAGTCAGCATGCAATCCTCTCTACTTTTTTTTTTTTTCCAAACAATCATAGTGTGTCCAGGAATAATTGGTTGTCCTATCTCATCAGCATCAATGGAGTAAGGAAGGAGGCATAACACTTATGCTGTGAGTTTTTTCCCCTCTCCTTTCTTTGTCTTCCTTTTAATGATGAGAACACAAAGATATTTGAGGAGGGAGAAATCAGGAGAGAGACTCAAAGAATATGACTAGAAGAGGATGTTTTCTTGTAGACTTAGCTATCATATATGAATAAATCAAATAGATTTGATCTCAAAACCTAATCAACAGCCCTGAGGAAGCGCCTTTATTTCCCTCACAATAAGTAGTGCTGTTATTAAAATTGACACAAGACTTATCAATTGTGCAAGGGTTTTACGGAAAATAAATATATTGGGAAACATCTAGGTAGGTTTCTTAATAATGACCTTTCACTGTCTCCTTTCTGGGAAGACTACGCTGACCGGAATGACTTTAAGATAGTTTTACATTTACTGATTAACACTGGAAATCATTTTTGTTAACCATTTTTTCATAAATGTAATGACTTTACTAGTTTAATTTTCAAATGATAACCTAAACTCATATGTTGAATACTCACAGCAACATATATTTACAATTACATGATAGACAAATGTTGAATATTAGACAAATTTTTTGGGTTTGAAATTAGTCGGGTGGCCCAAAACAGCGTTGGAGAAATATTTAGGGTGCACTCCCTTGCTGCAATCTGGTTGAGTTTATCCACTTCCTCTGTTCATATCAGTGAGTTTAACAGATCTATATTTAACAATATGCTAGGTATAATATGATAAATGAGAATTGCTGTCCTCCTCCATTACCCTTGGCCTCACATAAATTCATCTTTGGCTATACATGTGTGTTTAGTTAAAACCAACAATCTAAAGAATAACCTTGAGCCTCTTTCACTCTGTGTCATGTTCTCATTTTCTAAGACATACACAACCCTCATTAAGAGAGAATGGGGGCCAGGCACAGTGGCTCATGCCTATAATTCCAGTGCTTTGTGAGGCCAGGGTGGGAGGATCTCTTGAAGCCAGAAGTTTAAAACCAGCCTGGACAAAATAGCAACACCCTATCTCTAAAAAATAAACAAACAAACAAACAAAATTAGTTAGGTATGATGGCACATGTTGTATTCCAGTCCTAGCTACTTAGAAGGTTGAAGTGGGAGGATTTCTTGAGCCCGGGGGTTCGAGGTTGCAATAAGCTATGATTGCACCACTGAATTCCAGCCTGTGCAACAGAACAAGACGCTGTCTCTTAAAAAAAGAGAGAAAGAGAAAGAGACAGTGCCCCTTGATCAGAGGTGGGAATCATAGCACCGTGGAGCTTCACACACTGTCTACTTTAGATCTAAGTGTCATATTTTTTGGAATGTTTTTCTGACATTCTTCCCTGTATCCAAGCCAAGCCATCAGATAGAATCAATGCCTTCTGTTTTTGAGGGCTCATAGAAATCTCTCCAAACATCTGTCAGATCATTTATCATTGTAGTTAAACCAGGAACTCTAAGAGATGTTCTGGAACCAAAGGTTATTAAGAAAAGAGTCATGACTCCATAAGCTCATTTACTAGGGGAACCGATGATTAATTTTATTTCATGTAATAAAGGCTCAGTGAGAATGAAAGAATGAATGAATGAATGAATAAATGAAGTAACTTGGGGAAAGTTCCAAAATCAAATAATGCCCATGGTATTTCTTAGTTAAGGAAAACGAATGCATATTTTGTGCTTTCCTAGTTATCAAGCAGAGTAGTTAACACTTTATAAAATATTATCTCACTGAGTCCTTTCAACAACTATAAAGTGAAGAAAATAATGGTTCATACTTCTTTTTTTATTATACTTTAAGTTCTAGGGTACATGTGCACAACGTGCAGGTTTGTTACATATGTATACATGTGCCATGTTGGTGTGCTGCACCCATTAACTCGTCATTTACATTAGGTATATCTCCTAATGCTAACCCTCCCCCCTCCCCCCATCCCACGACAGGCCCCGGTGTGTGATGTTCCCCATCGTGTGTCCAAGTGTTCTCATTGTTCAATTCCCACCTATGAGTGAGAACATGCAGTGTTTGGTTTTCTGTGCTTGTGATACTTTGTTGAGAATGATGGTTTCCAGCTTCATCCATGTCCCTACAAAGGAAATGAAATCATCCTTTTTTATGGCTGCATAGTATTCTATGGTGTATATGTGCCACATTTTCTTAATCCAGTCTATCATTGATGGACATTTGGGTTGGTTCCAAGTCTTTGCTAATAATGGTTCATATTTCAACCTTTGAGAAAACTAAGACTTAGAGGTAATACAGCTTTTACATTGTCATAAAGTGGGATTTAAACACAGATTTGCTTTACAACGTATCCTGAGCTCCTAAACAAGACATGAACCCAAATGCAACATAACGTAAGTTTTATCTGGGTTTCCACAATGACAGTTTTTGCAGAGACCTAGCTTATTTCCATACCTGCAACAAATGGTGCCACTATATATTCTATGATTTTCTTATGTATCTCTGCAAAAACTGTCATTGTGGAAACCCAGATAAAACTTACGTTCATTCCCTGCAGATTAACCTCATTCCTCCCACTTTTAAAAGAAATAACATTGTATCAGTTAAACAATGTGGGATCAATTTTAGAGAAGAAATATCTGTCAATGTACATTTTTGTTATCTTCTCATTATTCCTATAAAATGGTATATCGGCAAATCTACCTAAAAAATAAAAAAAAAAAAATCAAGCCTAAAGGCATTATTTATTTTTAGATTGTAAAACATTCTACACACAGACAACATGAATAGAAAACTTTGTAATCTAACCAAGATGTTTAAAAAATAGCAGTTATCAAGTCATATATAATACAAGCCTCTTTAATAATTTGTTTCCTACAGTTTTCTACAGCTGAACAAATCAACATCCATGCCTTAAGATGCACTGTTTTTTGCAACGTGAATCATATAAGATTATGAAAGTGGTTTATTTTTTGTTCTTAATGAACAAATGCAAGTCAACATCATCTTGGTCCTGGCCACTGCATTTTTACAATAGGCAGCATATCAAGGTGCTATTATATTTTAAAATTTCATGTGGTTTGGGATAAAAGCAGAACGTTTTGGTACTTTGAGGAGTTTGAGAACCAATCATTCTTTCTCTACATAAAAAAGTAAAGAAAGAAAAAATAGGCCAGGCGCGGTGGCTCACATCTGTAATCCCAGCACTTTGGGAAGCTGAGGCGGGCAGATCACGAGGTCAGGAGATGAAGACCATCACGGCTAACATGGTGAAACCCCATCTCTACTAAAAAAACAAAAAATTAGCCAGGCGTGGTGGCAGGCGCCTGTAGTCCCAGTTACTTGGGGGGCTGAGGCAGAAGAATGGCGTGAACCCAGGAGGCGGAGCTTGCAGTGAGCCGAGATCGCACCACTGCACTCCAGCCTGGGTTGTGACAGAGCGAGATTCCGTCTCAAAAAAAAAAAAAAAAAAAAAAAAGAAGAAAGAAAAAAAAAGAAAACAAAGAATTAAATAAGAAAGTAAGAAAAAAATTGGTGAGAAGAAAAAAGTAATAATATTGGATTCATTGACTGATAACCCAAAGTCAAAAACTGGGTTTGGAATTATATTAGTTATTAAGGTTTTTTGAAGTTTGCACAATGACAGTTTTTGTGGAGATAGATAAAAAATCACGAAATATGTACACGTAGCATTTGTTGTGGGTACTGAAATACTCTACTGCTACGTAAGAAATTACCCGCAAACTTAGGAGCTTAAAACAGCAAATATTTATTATCTTATTTAGTTTCTGGAGCTCTGGAATGTGGAAGAGATTTTGCTGGATGGTTCTAGCTAAGGATCTCTCATAAGGTTTTAGGTAAAATGTAAGCTAGGGCTATACAGTAGCTTAAATTGACAACCCCTGTTGTCAGTTTATCTGGGTTAAAATAACAGCTTAATACTTCACTACTTTTGAGAACATAAAATATTTATTTTTTAAAGCCTTAGAGACAATTATTATTGTCATTTATAGACTGACAAATTAACTCATAGAAATATTGTGAGTACTGAGTGAGATCATGCATAGGAAGCAGTTAGCTGGCCGGGCGTGGTGGCTGACGCCTGTAATCCCAGCACTTTGGGAGGCCAAGGAGTGTGGATCACGAGGTCAGGAGATCAAGACCATCCTGGCTAACACGGTGAAACCCCGTCTCTACTAAAAAAATATAAAAAATTAGCCGGGCATGGTGGCAGGCGCCTGTAGTCCCAGCTACTTGGGAGGCTGAGGCAGGAGAATGGCGAGAACCCAGAAGGCGGAGCTTGCAATGGGCCGAGATGCACCACTGCACTCCAGCCTGGGCAACAGAGTGAGACTCTGTCAAAAAAAAAAAGGAGAAAGAAAGAAAAAAAAAAAAAGAAAGCAGCTAAATGCCTGATACATAGCAAGCACTCAGCAAAGATTCATTTTTACTATTGATGTAATAAAATATACTCAGAAGTAGATTTAAAAAGTTATGGGAGCATAGAATTTTCTGTCATTTCAGTATATGTATACAGAGTATCCATCTTCTACAATATGATGGCAATTTTTCTAGGCACTGTGGATGGAATCATAACTGAGATCCATGTCCTCTTTCACCTCAATGTTCATCTTACTGGAAATATAATTTCAAAAAAGAGTAGCAGGGAGAATAATTATAAAGGTGGAAAGGATGTCATGCTCTACAAATGAATGAGTGATGTCAGCAAGATGGTGGAAGAGGGGGTCCTAATGCTCAGTACCCAATAAAAATGATCAAACTCCCTACCAATGGGAATCCCTCTGGAAGAGCTCCAGTGTATACAACAGTGAAACTGCAGCAACCAAATAGAGCACAAAGACCAAAGAAGCCACACAGAAAAATGTAGAAAGCATTTAGTCTGCATCATCTTCTGGGTGCCAAGAAGACACATCACAACTGTGACTTCTTTGTGCGGGGTAAGAGGAGAGCAGGAAGACCCCAGAAGCCTTCACCATGGAGGACCCTTCACACTATATACAATGCAAAACACAACCCCAAATTGATTAAAGACTTAAGTGTAAAACCTGAACATGTAAAATTACTAGAAGAAAATATAGAAAAAAAAGGTTCTAGACATTGAACTGGGCAATGATTTTTGGATATGATAACAAAAATACAGGCAACAAAAGCAAGAAATAGACAAGCGTGACTACATCAAACTAAAAAGCCTCTGCATAGCAAAAGTTACAATCAACAGGGCAACCTACAGAGTGGGAGAAAATATTTGCAAACCATGTATCTGGTAAGGGGATAATATCCAAAATACAAACGGAACTTATATAGCTGAATATCAAATAATAATAAGAATAAATAACTCAATTAAAATGGACAAAGAACCTGAATAGACATTTTTCAAATAAGACATAAAAATAGCCAATAAGTATATGAATAAGTGCTCAACTTTTCATCAGGGAAATGTAACTCAAAATGAGATACATTTGAGATACACAATGAGATATCTCCTCACACCTATTAGAATGGCTATTATCAGAAAGTCAAAAGATAAGGTGTTGGAAAGGATGTGAAGAAAAGAGAACTTTTGTACACTGTTGATGGAAGTGTAAATTGGTACAGTTATTATAGAAAACAGTACAAAGCTTCCTCAAATATTAAAAATAGAACTACCTTATGATCCAGCAACAGTGTTTCTGCATACATACCCCTCCAAAAAATGAAATCAGGATCTCAAAGAGATATCTGCACTACCATGTTCACTTGAGATTCACAATGGTTAAGATATGGAAGCAACTAAATGGATAAAGAATATGTGAAAAATAAATATATAAACACTGAATGCTGGGAGCAGTGGCTCATGCCTGTAATCCCAACATTTTGGGAGGCCATGGAGGGCAGATCACTTGAGGTCAGGAGTTCCAGACCAGCCTGGCCAATGTGGTAAAACCATATCTCTACTAAAAATACAAAAATTAGCTGGGCATGGTGGTGGGTGCCTATAATCCCAGCTACTTGGAAGGCTGAGGCAGGAGAATTGCTTGAACTCAGGAGGTGGAGGTTGCAGTGAGCTGAGATTGTGCCATTGCACTCCAGCCTGGGCAACAAGAGCAAAACTCTGTCCCCACCAAAAAAAAAAAAAAAATATATATATATATATATATATATATATATATATATACACACACACACACAGATATATAATTTTGCATATGTGAAGTATTTATATACAGATGAGGTATTGTACATATTACTCAGTCTTAAAAAAGGAATGAAATGCTGCCATTTGCAACAACATGGATGGACCTGAAGGAAATTATGTTAAGTAAAATAAGCATGCAGAGGAAGACATATACTGCGTGTTCTCACTTACATGTGGAATCTACAACAGTCAAACTCACAGAAGCAAAGATTACAATGGTGGTTACCAGGGGTAGGGGGAGAGAAGAATGAGAAAATGTTGGTCAAGGGGTGCAAAGTTTCAGTTATGCAAGATTAACAAATTTTAGAGATCTAAAGTAAATATTCACTGTGAATAGTTAAAAACACTATATTGTATGCTTGAAACTTGCTAAGAGGGTAGAGCTCAAGTGTTCTCACCAGATACACAAAAAGAAAATGTTAACTAGCTTGGTTATGGTGATTATTCCACAATGTATGTGTATATCAAGTCATTGGGTTGTACGCCTTAAATATATACAATTTTAAATTGCCAATGATACTACAATAAAGCTGGGGGAAAGTGAACACAAAAATATCTAATCTAATCTAGAGTATTTTACAAAAACCTCCCAGAAGAAATGTTTAAATTGATCATTAAAGATGGAAAGGCAAAATGTTATAGGCAGAACATGAAAGGCAATGAGATCATGGTGGTCAAAGGCCCCAATACAAAGAAAGTGTGCCCCAAGTGAGGAAGTGAAAGAAGTCTAAGGAGCATGGGGTAAGAGAAGTTACCAGGTTGTCACAGGGACTGAAGAAAAGGGCATTCCAAATCAAAACAAATGGTTGCGGATGTATATGCACATGCATGGCTGTGTGTGTTCATTTGTGTTTGTGGGTTTGTGTGTGTGAATTAAAGGATTTTTGGATGCAATCATGAAATTTTTATGACCAGAGACTAAGGATTGTGCTATAAATAAGAAGAGAAAGGAATAAAATACTGTGCTGGGAAGATGGACAAAGACTGAATCACAATGAGACAACATTACCATGAGACAAAATATATTCCTAGAAATCACCATAACTTCTTCCAAATATGTAGAAACCCATCTGGCATGGAGCCGTTAATATTCTCTGGTACCAGGAACCTACAGACGTACTATGTCCCTACTCTGCATGGGTTTTGTCATGACCAATGGGAAGCAGGACCATTGGAAGAAATCAGGAAGTCCCACTTCACTATCTGCCTCACTGATAGCATGGGAAGTCTCAAGATCCAGAAGAAAACACGGGGCAGCATGCGAAATAGATTCTTTCCTTTAGGTTGTATCCTAGATTTCCTGTCTCCTATTTGGTCCTGCTTTCTACTAAAGTGACATTTTCTCTTTCCAAGGGGCCTCACTCCTGAAAATGCAGAAGCAACAGCAATAACAATTGGGAACCCTTTCTACAGATATTAGTAAGACTGGTAATCCTAACTACTGTCTCACTGGGTGAGAATATTAACCAAGTATTGCTTCTCGGCCTTTTGGCTAAGATCACGTGAGAATATTAGCCAAGTTAAATATTCTCTCTTGGTGAAACAAGCAAAAGTTACATTTTTTAAATAGTATACACACAGACATTTTTTAAAGTACACACACACACAAGTGGCAGAATTTGGCCAGCACCCATGGAGGGGGTATGTGGGCCAGCACTAGCCAGGGAGGAATCATCCATCCCACTGTGTGTATGTGTGTGTGTGTGTGTGTGTGTGTGTGTATGTGTGTGTACTTTTTAAAGTGGCCGGGTGCAGTGGCTCATACCTGTAATCCCAGCACTTTGGGAGGCTGAGGCAGGCTGATCACGAGGTCAAGAGATCGAGACCATCCTGGGCAACATGGTGAAGGCTCGCCTCTACTAAAAATACAAAAATTAGTTGGGCACGGTGGTGCACAGCTGTAGTCCCAGCTACATGGGAGGATGAGACAGAAGAATCGCTTGAACCCAGGAAGTGGAGGTTGCAGGGAGCCGAGATTGTGCCACTGAACTCCAGCCTGGTGACAGAGTGAGACTCCACCTCAAAAATAAATAAATAAATAAATAACTTTTAACTTTTGCTTGTTTCCCTAGAGAATATACACATATACATTATAATATATATACTTATATAACCTCTCTAATTTTATAAATACAAAAGCAAGATAACAACATTTAAGAAAATCACCCAGAGTCATATCGTTGGAAAGTGGTGAAATCATATTCAAATCAAGGTCATTGCAATACTACAGCTTGTGATCCTTTGCTACCCTATGCTATTTCTCCCATGCCAAACAACTTCTTGTCCTGAAAAACTGTCAGCATTGCACTACTTACCCATTCCAATCTTCCCAGGATTATATTTCTAGCTGTGAAGGACTGAGTACAACAAACGCTTTAAAAGAATGACTACTAATATATTAATATGCAATCCTTCCAGAAAATCATTATGTCTTTACTTTGGAGTTAAATTTGTCAGACCTGTTTCCAGGAGGATGGCACATCTCTCTGGTATTTGAGACTGGAACACTGGATACTTGTCATTCATAGCTATTCACACTTTCTTCTCGTGCTCACGGAACTGGTTGAACCAAATTATCACATCAAAATATTCGTAGAAATTTCCCTCAGACATGCATTTCTCAGCGTCAATATCGTAAAGCCAATACTGCAATTTGGATGCTGGATCTGAGCTTGATTTTAAAAAGCAAAAGTTTTTTTAAGAAAAAAGAAAAACTTTGAGGCATAATTAGGATTAATTGGCTCAGGCATTTTGAATGCCTGGAATGAGTTAGGTTCTGTGTTAATTTGTTTTATCTTACATTTTTTCCTTTATAACCTGAAAAATAGGGCTTATTTATTTTTCTCCTTTTAGAGATGTGGAAACTGAGTTTTACGTAATACCTTAGTAGATGATATTTCCAGAATTCACATCCATTCACATGATGTTTCTAAATTCCCTGCAATTTCCCCAATCTAAAACATACCCACTATTCACGTAACAATGATACAAGAATAAATAAATTTTAATTTTAATGTCTTACATGTATAAGACATTGTGTTGTTTTGTTTAATCATCACAGCAATCTTACTAGGTACATAGAATTTGAACTCTAATTTTATAGATAAAGAAATCTAGAAACAGTTTAGTTGACATCTTCAATCTTCAAATGTCCAGGGCCAGAGACTGGCAGCAGGACATAAACCCACTTTTGCCACCTAAATAGTTTCACTTAAGTACAAGTTTAAGATATAAATAAATACAAAAGACTAAAAATTGATAACTTGATGTCACAGGTGTGTTACCACAGTATTCAAATGTCTTTTTGACCTAAACAATGAGTAACTGGAGATAGATGTTGGAAATAGAGGAACAAATAAAACACTGGCCTTCTTTCATTTGTTAATAACCACAATGACACCTAGGTTTTGTGATCCAAGGAATAGCCATCTATATTAGCTGATTATTTTATATATATATATACACATATATATACATATATATATAGATAGATATATAGATATAATCTAGAAATACAGAAGTTCATGGATATACTCTGAGGGAACCAAGCTTTCAGACTCCTACTCCTTGCCAGGCATGGCTCAGAGCAACACATCAATCTCTTTTCTGATTATTTGAGGCCATAGGATCCTTTAGGTAGTCCTTTTGTCATGAACACAATTTACATTTAAAATGTTTAAAATCATAAAACCTAGGCACTGATTTTGAGGCAGTTGTCTATCGCCTATGTCTTTCCCTAGAAGACAGCATAAAAGCTACCAGTTTAGGGATAGTCCTTTCAATCTGATTTCCTCATATCCTCATTCATTTACCCATTCATTTAATACCTAGTTTTGAGCATCTACTATATGCTGGATTCTCATCAGTTTTCATTGATTAAAAAAAGCAGAGCTTAATAAGAAAGGAACAATCAAGATTGGAGACACTTATTTCATATATTGAAAACTATGGGCAGCAGAGAATGTATTATCTGCCTCCATAATCTTTACTGCAGAAAGAAGCAGTGTTATTTCATTGATGCATACGCATGTGAGCATGGACCCTGAAACTCATGTTATTTAGGCTTCTCATGTTACAGCTTAGTTTAGGACTTAGAACTCGCATCCACTAAGTCTTACAGAGCATATTTTTCACCTGCCTACGTATAAAGGACTAGCCTTCCACAAGAGTATACCAACTTTTTTTGCAGCTAGTTGTATATTCCTTCCTTGCAGCTAGTTGGATAGCTGTAGAGTCATTTGACTGGGTTAGCCCAAAATATAAGCATCATTTGAAGCAAATACTCCTGGTAAAATATGTGTGTTATATTATATTCATGACAGAATAGAGGATTGTTTAAATGGGTGTCTACTTAATCAATCATGCACTTGGATTGTTTTAAAAGAAAGTATTTTCGATCTTCAGAACAGTGTTCCATGATGGAGTAATGCGCTGAGCTGTGAGTGGGTACTTGTTGGTGCCACAGAGACCCGTTCCACTCAGTAAGAGCAGAGTAGTACAGAATGTCCTTGGGACAGGCATGGCTATTGCAGAAATCAGTGCTTGTTATAAAAGTTTTACTGATTTTAGGAGAAAAATTTAACTTGCTGTTAGTGATAACCCAGTTTAACTTGGGAGATAAATTGCTTAAAGGAATAATATAAGAAAAAGAATACATGAAATTAAGAATGCTTATTGGCTGGGTGTGGTAACTCATCTCTGTAATCCCAGCACTTTGGGAGGCTAAGGAAGGAGGATCACTTGAGCCCAGGAGTTCAAGTTCAGCCTGGGCAACATAGTGAGACCTGATCTCTACAAAAAATAAACAGAATTAGCCAAGCATAGTGGTATGTGCCTGTGGTCTTAGCTAATCGGAGGGCTGAGGTGGGAGGATTGTTTGAGTCCTGGAGGTCGAGACTTCTGTGAGCTGAGATTTCCAGCCGGGGCGACAGAGTGAGACACTGTCTCAAAAAAAAAGAAAAAAATTCTTATTAAAAGAACATAATCATAATCTGCCCATCAGATTCTCATATATTGTTTTCACAAATATTAATAGGTGCTTTTTTCACAAGCCTCTCTCATATTTACAAATATGTCTTGGTATACATAGAAAGTAAAGTTGCCCTACGAGGCATTAATTTTATATTTGAGGAAATGATTATAAATAATAAAGTATTGGTGTAACTATGATTACTAAAGTATATGTGTGGTGTTTTATATTTGTGGTTTATATAATGGTAAATTTATTTATTTTCCCATTTTCAGGTGTCAAGGGAAGGACCTCTTGGGAGGTGATTGGATCATGGTGGCCGTTTCCCCCATGCTGTTCTCATGAGAGTGAGTGAGTTCTCATGAGATCTGATGGTTTTATAAGTGGTCATTTCCCCTGCTCTTCCTCTGTCTTCTGAAGCTGTGTAAGATATGCCTGCCTCCCCTTCCATCATGATTGTAAGATTCCTGAGGCCTCCTCATCCATGTGGAACTCTAAGTCAATTAAACCTCTTCTCTTTATAAATGATCCAGTCTTGGGCAGTTCTTTATAGCAGTGTGAAAATGGACAAATACATCAGGTAAACCCATTTTAAATGTTTTGAAATGTACAATAGATTATACATACAGAAAAGTACACATCTTAAAGTGTACGACACCATAAAATTTCACTAACTAAACAAACTCATTCAATCAGCACTAAGATCAAGAAACAGAGCATTACCAGCACTCCAGAATCTGACTCTCTTGTGATTGCTGTCAGGTTCTAAACCCTCTAAAAGACTGTCACATTCTTAACTTTTTGTGTTTTATAAAAATAGCATCTATAATCTTAATTTCAGTATGTAATTGTTTGTTTCTGCCTTAACTAAGCATTGTGAAATGTATCTGTATTTCTCTGGGTGGTTTTATATCATTGATTTCTCATTGCCACACTTTTTATTATGACAGTTGATACACTCATGGGTCTATTACATTAAATTCTCATTCAAAATGAAATATTGGGCAAATTTATTTACTTCTTATACATTGTTGTACCTTTCTTATGTATGCATATCTAACCCACACAGTACAGGGTAAAATGCCTTTTATGATCCTTATGCTCTTGAAGATTTAAGATATCTACATTCTGGATACAAAGTTAACTTAGAGCCACGCTCCCTTCTTTCCAGGCAAGCCATCTTCTGGCAAAAGATAGTTTTATATTTTGATATTACTTTCCCTATTTACTTTGCAGAATTGTTAGGAGAAGCAACAATTATTATGGATCATAAAATACTTTTACAGTTGAACCGTGTTTCACTCCATTGTCAGATGAGTGAATAGAATAAAGGGAAATATAAATTGCTTGTGCATGGAAATTCATTTGGTTGATGGTGAAAATAAGATCTCTTAAATTCATAGAAGGCAAGTGTATTTTCCTCTCCTTTGTCATTCATTCATTTCAGCATAGTGCTAGGCATGCCATTGACTAGATCATTTCAAATGACTAAACTGAAATCCAGTAACTTTGGGTTGATAGATGTGGTAGGCTAAAGAATGGCCACCTAAAGATGACTGCCTGCTAGGTGCCAGAGCCTGTGAAGAGGTCATGTTACGTGGCATGATGAATTAAGATTGTAGATGGAATTAAGGTTGCTAATTAGCTGAATTTGAGATGGGAGGATTATCCCGGACTGTTCAAGTAGTCCCTATGTAATCACAGTGGCCTTTATGAATGGAAGAGTCTTCACTGATAGCCTCTGAAAGCAGAAGAGGAGGTCAGAGTCAGAGATTTGAATATGTTATGTTTCTGGCTTTGAAGATAGAGGAAGAGGGAAAAATTAATTTTTCCCCTAGGGTCACTAAAAGGAACACGTACCAACTGCCGCCCCGATTTTAGCCCAGTGAGACCCCACTTTGGATTTCTGACTACCATAACTGAGAGATTGTAAGTTGTGTTGTTTTAAGCCAGTAACTTTGTGGTAATTTGTTATAGCAAGAATAGAAAACTAACACAAAATGTGTGGATAATTGATTAACAAAAAGTCCTTTTCCTGGATCCAAGAGAAAATACGAGTGAAGGGGTGGACAAGAGATAAATCTTCTTCTTTCTCAGAATCTGATTACTATTTTACCTTCTTCCACAAAGCAAGTAGCAGATGATTCTTTAGCAATTTTTTGCCTTAATTTCTGAATAAGATGGCATTTTTATAAATCAATGCAAATCTACTTCTGTCTTAGCAGGAAAAATGTATGCATTGCTTGAAAGTCAAATGTGGACATAGGCAAAAGGAAGTTTCTTGTTTGTTTGTCCTTGCCCCAAAGAAGCATTTTCTGGTTTCACTTACTAAAGATATTAAGATTAGGCTTAGGGGAAAGGGAGAGGGACCCCTCTGACTTTGCACCCACCACCCCAGGGTGCGTACTAATGTAGGATTTGCTTTGAAGCCTCTTCTCCAGAATATATCCCAGAGAGTGTGTTAAATATAGTTTCTCTACTTAAGTTTAATTATAACTGTTTTCTCGTGTTCCCATAAGAAACATTTCAGAATGTGAAAATCTGGTACATATGGAAATAGGAAATTCATAGGGGCTTCTGGGTACCTTGCTCACAGTAATATAAGGAGGCTGTTTCATTTTAAATGCCAAAATTGCTCCAACAAATCTGGAGTTTTGTCACTGAGTGAGAAATTAGAGTTAAATACTCAGAGCTGGGAATGACATTGAGACACAGAGATGGAAGTAACCAAAGAGGAGAGGTGGTCTACTGATTATTCTTAAATTATAATAAATTCAAAAGCCTTGGGCATTTAAAATCCGGCTAGCAAAAATAGTTGGGAATTTTGGGGCCACACCTCTTGTGGACTTGCTGAGATTTGCAAAATGGCTTAACATCACTGTCTAATTCCAAGCAAGCAAAGGATTGCATACTAGTGACAGAACATGAATGCTAGCAGCAGGGAAAAGGAACAGACAGAATGTTGTTAGCACTCTTACGCACAGTGACCAGCACCTTCTCCTTGACTTGTCACCTATCACTCATTAACTGCTCCCTTCCTCTTCCATACCCTTTGGCCTTTACAAATGAGGTTGTTATACCAAATCCCCAATGAATATTCTAAGAAACGAGCTATTATGGGGAGGGATGAAAAAATATCTTATAGAAATAATACATTCCCAACTTTGAAAACAACATGATACTCAGTTTTTCCTTTTTTTCTCCCTACAAAGGGAAGAGTTATCTCTTGAAAACCCTAGGAAAGTTAATGAAACAACAGGTGCTGGAGAGGATGTGGAGAAATAGGAACACTTTTACACTGTTGGTGGGACTGTAAACTAGTTCAACCATTGTGGAAGTCAGTGTGGCGATTCCTCAGAGATCTAGAACTAGAAATACCATTTGACCCAGCCATCCCATTACTGGGTATATACCCAAAGGATTATAAATCATGCTGCTATAAAGACACATGCACACATATGTTTATTACAGCACTATTCACAATAGCAAAGACTTGGAACCAAGCCAAATGTCATCAATGATAGACTGGATAAAGAAAATGTGGCACATATACACCATGGAATACTATGCAGCCATAAAAAATGATGAGTTCATGTCCTTTGTAGGGACATGGATGAAACTGGAAACCATCATTCTCAGCAAGCTATCACAAGGACAAAAAACCAAACACCGCATGTTCTCACTCATAGGTGGGAATTGAACAATGAGAACACATGGACACAGGAAGGTGAACATCACACACCGGGGACTGTTGTGGGGAGGGGGGCGGGGGGAGGGATAGCATTAGGAGATATACCTAATGCTAAATGACGAGTTAATGGGTGCAGCACACCAACATGGCACATGTATACATATGTAACAGACCTGCATGTTGTGCATATGTACCCTAAAACTTGAAGTATAATAATAATAAATTTAAAAAAAAAGAAAATGTGGTACAGATATGCAATGGAGTACTATTTAGCCATAAAAAATGAAAGCCAGTCATTTGCAACAACATGAATGGAACTGAACATCATTATGTTAAGTGAAATAAACCAGGCACAGAAAAGACCAGCATCACACGTTCTCACTTATTTCTGGAGTCTAAAAATCAAAATAATTGAACTCATGGACATAGAGAGTAGAAGGGTGTTTAACAGAGTTGGGAAGGGTAGTGAGAGGGTTGGGGGAGGTAGGAATGGTTCATGGCTACCAAAATACAGAATGAATAAAACTTACTATTTGATAGCAAAAAAAAAAAAAAGAAAAATTAGTATTTAATGAGCACATAATCTACATCAGTATTGACGCTTAGTAAAAGTATACTTTATCTTTCTGCAAAACACTCTGACTTAGCATTATTAATCCCATTTTCCAAATAAAAATACAGATCCAGAAGAGGTTACCTACTTGCTCAGTGACTGTAGTAGTGAGTTGCAGAGCTTGACAAGGAATCAAAGAATACCAAATCCTGAAGCATAAACTACCACCTTGTGTTATCACATGGATTTGAATTTTTCTTATGATTTCATTATCACAATCTAACTTCTGTTCCCTCTGGTTTTTCCTAGTTTCTTTCTCCTTTCTTTCTTTCTTTCTTTCTTTCTTTCTTTCTTTCTTTCTTTCTTTCTTTCTTTCTTTCTTTCTTTCTCTTTTTCTTTCTTTCTCTCTCTCTCTTTCTTTTCTTTCTTTCTCTTTCTCTCTCTCTCTTTCTCTCTCTCTTTCTCTCTTTCTCCCTTTCTGTGTGTCTTTCTTTCTTTCTTTCTTTCTTTCTTTCTTTCTTTCTTTCTTTCTTTCTTTCTTTCTTTCCTTCTCTCCCTTCCCTTCCCTTTCTTTTTTTTTTTTTTTTGTCAGAGTCTCACTCTGTTGCCCAGGTTGGAGTTCAGTGGTGCAATCTTGGCTCACTGCAACCTCTGCCTCCCGGGTTCAAGCGATTCTCCTGCCTCAGCCTCCTGAGTAGCTGGGATTACAGGCGCCCACCACCACGCCCAGCTAATTTTTTTGTATTTTAGTGGTGACAGGGTTTCACCACGTGGTCCAGGATGGTCTCAAACTCCTGACCTCAGGTGATCCATCTGCCTCAACTTCCCAGTTTCTAATGATTTCCTGCATATTCTTTCTTTCTTTTTTATATATTTAGGCATTATGTTTAAATATTTTAAAATGTACTTTGAATCCCATCCAGCACCAAAGCCAATGCCTACCACAAAGTATTTGACAGCATTAGCTGGACAGAATACTAATTACATCTAATAATCTAATTTACAGATGTCAGCTCTTCAAGGTTTTATGCTATACCTATATTGCTGTAATTTCAGGATTTGCTGCCTATATTTAGTCTATGACCAAACATAGAGGTTAAGAACACTGGCCTGGATTAGATCCCTTTTTCTAACTCTTACCAATTAGGTGATCATTGCCAACATTCATAATTCCTTGGCTGGGCACCATGGCTCATGCCTTAATCCCAGCACTTAGGGAGGCAGAACCCAGGAATTTGAGACAAGCCTGGGCAACATAGTGATACCCTAAAAATAAACAAAATTAGCAGAATGTGGTGGTGCATGCCTGTGATCCCAGCTACTCAGGGGACTGTGGTGGCAGGATCACTTGGGTCTCGAAGTTTGAGGCTGCAGTGAGCCATAATCATGTCACTGCATTTCAGCCTGGAAGATACAGCAAGACTGTCTCAGATAACAATAATAATAATAATAATAATAATAATAATAATAATTCCTCTGTGCCTCAGTTTTCTCAGCCATATAATAGAGTTAATAATAGTAACTGGCTAATAAAGTTGTTATAGAGATTAAATTAGTAAACAGATGCAATGTGCTTAGAAGAATGCACATGAGAATTGCCCAGTGAAACTAGGGCACACATAAACACTGTCAAATGAGCCCACTTTTTTGGACACAATTTAAAACTTGCAGAATGATAGCCAGAACAGGACAAATATATATATTTGTTCTGAGCCTCCTAAGTTCAGGCAACAGATGTGATATATCACCACCCTCAATACCACAAAGTCCATTTCTCACAAACTAGGCTTCCCTAAGACATAATAATGGCACAAACAACGAATCATCAAATTCATATCCACATATCACTACCATCCAGTCCACATCTCATTCAAGTTTCACCAATTATCTCACCATGCTCTTCATGGTGAAAGGATCCAATACCGGATCCTACATTGCACCTAGTTGCCACGGATCCTACATTGCACCTAGTTGCCACGCCTCCTCAGTCTCCTTCCATCTGGAATAGTTCCTCAAGTGCTTCCTAGGTTTTCATATCTCTGACACCCTTAAGTATTACAGATCAGTTATCTTGCAAAATAAAACTCACTCTTTGTCTGACAGATATTTCCTCATGATTAGATCCAGGGTACACCTTTTTTTTTTTTTTTTTTGAGATGGAGTCTCGCTTTGTGGTCCAGGCTGGCGTCCAATGACACGATCTCCGCTCACTGTAGCCTCTGCCTCCTAGGTTCAAGTGATTCTCCTGCCTCAGCGTCTTGAGTAGCTGGGATTACAGGTACCTGCCCCCATGCTCTGCTAATTTTTATATTTTTAGTAGAGATGGAGTTTCACCATGTTGGCCAGGCTGGTCTCAAACTCCTGACCTCAGGTGATCCACTCACGTTGGCCTCCCAAAGTGCTGGGATTAGAGGCATGAGCCATCACTCCTGGCCAGGGTACACATCTTAATTAAGCCTCTAGATCACCAGAGCGTCACCATGATTTTTCCATTGCATTTTATCAGGCGAAACATAATTTCCAAATGTCCCTTTATTGATTATAACTAGCTTCAATCACTTGATTTGGGTGGTATCCACCATATTTCCCAATGTTCAGTTGTTACTTTTTCCCTCACAGTCAATATTTGCTTTTAGTTTTTCCCCTGGTAGGAGTGCTGAGGAGATAGTTTGAGACCATGACCCTTTTTATCCTATGTGCTAGGCATCATTGCTGGGCAATTTGATTATGAGATTTCTCTAATAGTGAATTCCACTTATTTATTATAATTATTTAATGTCACTGGGAATGAGAATGGGAAGTCATACTGTAGTTTTAGATAAAATGAATTAACAAATTATTCTTCACTTTCGACAATGGTTTCTTGAATTCTGGAAGACAATTGTTTCAGCTCTTTGAGGAGCTTTCTAAGTCCCACTTCTAAGACATTTGTAGTGGTTTGGGACTATGTTTTGGAAGAATTTTTGAAGAGTACAATCATGATATAAAAATATTCTTTTTTTTCAATTATACAACACTAATGAAGATATGAAGCTTATTTCAAGCTACTTATCTGTCACATTAAGTTCTAAGCTTAAGAATTAGATGTGATTAATCTCGACTCCAAGACTTGGCAGTAAAGAGCAGATCTTGGAATTCTACCGTGGGCATAGAGGAAGGGCCTCTTTTCTCACAACACTAGGAAGAAATAAAAGTTTATTTTTAAAAGTATTTCAGAGTATTTTTTAAAATAAAAGAAAAATAGGATTATCCAGCCATATTATGGCTTCAGCACACCATCATAAAATCCCCTTTTCTTCTCAAAAGCATGTATCTTCCGATATGTTCCATTCTGAAGTGCTTTATGGCAGTGAGATGAGGGTGTATGATGGAATGGAAGAGAGTTTTGCATGGACATTTAGAAAACCCAATTCAGATTCCAGCTTAGCATCTTCCAGACTGGTTCACCTAGGCTAGCTCATGTGGACTTTCTAGTTGTCAATTACAACATTTAGCAAATAGGAGCAGATGAAGTGCATTAGGAATAGCAAAAAAGAACAAAGACAACTATTGTGTATATTTCTAATAATTGACAGTGCCTGTCTAGAAAGCCATGCTGTGATAGAGTTTGAGTTTACACCGAAATCCATGAAGGAAGATTACAATGGTCAATTAATGATGTCTACTACGGGCATGGGTGGAGTGGTGACATCTTTCCTGATAAGTGTTTGCCATCCCAAGATTTAACTCTCTTTCAGATTTAATATTTGAAATGTCTATGATGTACTTTATCTTACTCTTTAATAAGATGATTTATTCTAGATTTAGAGAGAAAGCTTGGCCAAAGATCAGAAAACGTTTACTTATTGTCCTTTTATACATTAGGCCACAAATTTCATGCCAGCAAAGAATGCATCTCTTTTGGCTCTATGTTTTATCCACAGAGATTAATCAATTCTTAGTACATATTAGGTGCTTAATAAACATATTGTGGAACCTCTGAATTACTCAACACTGCTTCTGAAGGAACTGTGCATTAAATTCTATTTCACACTGGCTTTTTCTGACAGAGGCAGGAGTTAAACTAGTGTGTTAAACTGGAATGTGTTTAAGACAATCAAACCAGCAAAGCAAAGCATAAAACATGCTTTATAGAACTGATGCATCTGGAGTGATAATACAAAGTTAATGGTGTATAAACCAACAAGACGGGAAGGAAACAGAACCCAGGAATACATTTCTATTTCAGTGTTGATTCTGTTGCCTACTGTGGAATTTTCTAAAGAACTGGTAAGTCCATTCATTAGTTGAGCACACCAACTTCATAAAAGGGACTGTTTTCCATCACCAGCTCCCAGCTCATTTTTGTCCTCTCACCATATCTCAAGGTCACAAATTTGTATATCTGGCAGATAAGTTTACAAAGGTAGAGAAGAAGACATTGTAATAATGTCAGCCTTTCAATTGTCTGGCTTAAAAGTACAAAAGACTGGCCAGCGCAATGTTCCTGGTTGTTGGCTGCTATTATTAAAACACTAAAAATGAACATCTCCCATTGATTGAGAACTTTTGATGCTCAGGGGACCTTGCATCTTTTTCTGACCTTCACAACAGTTCTTTTTGAAACATTTTCAAACTGCAGTATGTAGGTTCCTGAGTGTCTGCATCTATATTTAAAGGGTCCTCCAGTTTTCCACATAATGTGCAGACTTCTATTAGAGGGCATTAATTTTACATTAAGGACTAGGGGGAGCTTCTGGATGACCACATTATCACATCAGCCCCTGCAGGAGACTGATGCGATCATTGGCAGAGAGGGTCTGGCTTGAACGTCAAATAAAGTGTCTTTCACACTGAATGGCTTTGGCATCTGTGGTGTTTACATCTTCTTGATGGTCCTCATTTTTTCCTGTTTGAAAAGCACAGTTGTAAAGAACATTGTCTTCGGAGTCAGATAGGTCACAGATTTTATCTGTGTGAAACTGACCAAGTTTTTAAGTTCTTTTTACCTGTTTCCTCTTCTACAAATGGGGGGCATTCATAATTATTTTAGGAAATTATAGTTTAAAAAAGTTGAATATAATAAAATATGACATGTACTTAGAATACTACCTGATACAGAGTTAGTTGGCATTAAATAATAGCCATATAAAAAATGTATTATTTCTTTTTTTTAACTTTTATTTTAAGTTCAGGGGTACATTTGCAGATTTGTTACATAGGTAGTCTTGGTCTTGGGGCTTGCCGTACAGATAATTTATCACCCAGGCATGAAGCCTAGTATCTATTAGTTATTTTTCCTGATCCTCTCCCTCCTCCCACCCCACACTGTCTGTTAGGCCTCAGTGTCTGTGGTTCCCTTCTATGTGTCCGTGTGTTCTCATCATTTAGCTCCCATTTGTAAGTAAGAAAAGGCAGTATTTGGCTTTTTATTCCTGCATTAGTTTGCTAAACATAATGGCTTCCAGCTCCATCCATGTTCCTGCAAAGGACATGACCTCATTCTTTTTTATGGCTGCATAGTATTCCATGGTGTTTATGTATCACAGAAAATGTGTTATATCTATCAAGACAGCACAACACATCTTTAAGCTTCCTGGAAAAGAACAGCTTATGGTTAAAAGGCCCTGGTTGATACTGACACCTACTGTAGGGTCCCCAGTCCCCCCGCCATTTTCTTTCTGTGTTCTCACTGAAAATCACACAGTGCCCTGTGGCCACAATGTGACACAGACAGTTGCAGATTTTTCCCAGCTGAATTGAACCTAAACAGGAGTCTTGAACTTTCCCAAACACTGATAAAGGTATATAGCTTGTTGCCCAAAACACTGAAAGAAAGAGGCCACAGCTCTGAGTCAAATTCCTTAAGCCCTCATAGAGACTCCACACCCTGGCTCCATCTCTGTAAACCTATCCAGGTAGAGCACCCCTTTTCTTTCATTATCCCGTTGTGAGGATTGCTGCAACACCTCTAGAAGTATGTTTACCTAATAAACGCTTTCGACTGATCTCCCTCACATTTGGTGCTTCTTTCCTTGGAATCCCAACCAGACCCATCTTGGGAAGGTTGGGGGCCCTTCCTTGTGGGAATTCCCCTTCCACTGCTTTTGGGGCCACTCCAGCTGCCGGTTTGATGAGACAAAACACCTACTTACATGAAAGAAATTATGTAAGTGTATGACAAAGGCTCATTCACACTTTATTTACTGAAATTCAGTTAGAGATAAAGAAAGAAATAGAAAAGATTGCATGAATGACCTCAGCCAGCCATTTATATTTGGTAACCCTAATGAAGATTTGAAGATTTCATGCGTTTACTCTGTTTTACTTGGATAGCTTTTGCAATATCTGCACTATTTAAAATAACCTTTCCAACTTTTCACTGGGGGTGCTACGTTAATTACTATGTAAGTTTTTCATATGCTTAAAATGCATCAGTGGTGATAGCTTATAAAATATTTATTAAGAAATACAGAAGTATTCAAAACATTAAAATATTGGCTTAAAACTTTAAATTATATTTATCTGAGCTCTATGGCTAGGATTTTAGCAAAAAGATTTCAAAGTCTCATACTGAGAAAATCCCCAGGCAGTAATTTTATTGTTAGAAGTCACTTAAAATAATATTTGATATTTCACGATCTCTTCATGATCCAATTATGATTTGTAAGCTTTGAAAATTTTACAGCATAAACTCTATCCTCATTAGCAGACTCTGGTAACTGCTGCAACTCCAAAATATACTTTCAGTGATTTGGGAAGTGTTCTGCAGTAGCACTCACTAAAAGCGTTTACAACAAATATTCCTTATTATGTTATGACAAAGTATTGGCTCATGAAAATATATTCAACCAAGTGGAAAGGTATTTGAAAACAAATTTATATATTCCAATAGTTACTTATGGGAATGTGTTGTGAGGGTCATTGCACAAATAACAGATTATGGGAACCATTTTGGACTGATATTCTTCTTTATTCACACTTTCTATGAACGAGGTGGGAGGAAGGAGGAAAACAACTCAACAGTTATGTACAACTATTAATTTAAAAGCTCACTATGCCATTTATAAAACTCACTATGTTAATTTAAAAACTCACTATGCCATTTGCATCAAACGAGCTTCAGTAAAAGGGGGAATTTATTGATGAATGTAACTAAAATTCCAGCAGAAATTCTGCCTGGCGTCATAGATGCGAGGATATTATCAAACTAGTCTGTGACTTATTTTATCAAAGTTAGTGATTTTGATATGATTTTGATATCAAAGTGATATCCTTTTGTGAGTGGACAAAAGGATGAATTAGGTGTATGAAAAAGCAAATCTCTATATACTGTTAATTTCAGAATCTGATTAGTGGGTAATCTGGTAATCAATGTACAATAGCTTCATTCACTT
Source organism: Homo sapiens (assembly GCF_000001405.40). Taxonomy (NCBI): domain Eukaryota; kingdom Metazoa; phylum Chordata; class Mammalia; order Primates; family Hominidae; genus Homo; species Homo sapiens. The sequence goes on along the minus strand of NC_000016.10, from coordinate 62,312,774 downwards.
TCTATGTATGAATATTTTCATTACAAAATATTGTGGAAAATGTTTAAGGGTCTGGTTTCTCTATCTTGCCTCCTTTTGTTATGTCAAAAATATTTATAGTAATGCTAGCTTAAATGCTTTTAGGTAATTGCAGCAAAAACTGTAAGAATCATTCCTATCAAATTGAAGGAAGAGTTTTAGTAAATTTCATTGACTATCACTGGATCACATGCTCATAACTGAACCAATCACTGTGGTTAGGAGGTTGCAATAATTGGATTAGCTAGGACTGAGTTACATGTTACACTTCTGCATAAAAAGTGGATCTTCTGGAAAATCACTCTAATTTGATATGTAGACTTGTATTTATGATAAAATTATTTTAAAAATTATAAACACGTTCTGTTTTCTCAACAGGTTATGTAATGCAATGCAAATTAATGTAATCTTAGTCATTTTACTTGTTTTTGGAAGACAGTGGTGCTCCTAGAAAAGCTGCAACACATGAAACAAAAACAAGAGTATTCCAAGATTTTTGTGTATAAACACTGGCTGTGAAATGGAAAAAAAATAAACCACTAAAATGCTGCATTCTATACGACAATTGAAAAAAAATCGTTTCTAAATATCTTCATCTCTGGTCTACTTTGCAGTGAACATTTGCCTTGCAGTTTTGTTTTAGAAATAAGTCATGCCTCCAAGTGTTGGCAAGGTGAGTAAAAGAGTAGGTTTTTGACAAGACCCTTGGGATGAAAACTTATATTAAAAATGTATGTAGGTGCAAAATTCCTATAGAACTAGCAAATCAGATCTCAATCTATGATATCAGTTACCTCATCAAATACATTCAATTTGGATTCTTTGGAAAGAAATGTGGCTGTCTTTGTAGTTGGAAGTTTAGGGTTCAAATCCCAGATTGACCTTGGGCAAAAAACTAAAAGTAAGCCTCCCTATTTTAATCAAAGATGTCTTACAGACAAACATTAAAGGAGTAAACAAATTCTTATCTATAGAGTTTATGGAGGAGCCTAGTCTGAAACAGGTGTGCATTAAATATAAATGATAGGTAGATAGATGATAGATAGATAGATAGATAGATAGATAGATAGATAGATGATAGATGATAGATAGAGGCCAGGCGTGGTGGCTCATGCCTGTAATCCTAGCACTTTGGGAGGCCAAGGCGAGCGGATCACTTGAGGTCAGGAGTTCAAGACCAGCCTGGCCAACATGGCAAAACCCTGTTTCTACTAAAAGTACAAAAATTAGCTGGGCATGGTGGCGCATCCTGTAATCCCAGCTACTCTGGAGGCTGAGGCAGGAGACTCGCTTGAGCCCAGGAGCCGGAGGTTGCACTGAGACAAGATCATGCCACTGCACTCTAGCCTGGGTGACAGAGCGGGACTCCATCTAAAAAAAAAAAAAAAAAGATAGATAGATAGATAGATAGATATAGATATAGATAGATAGAATAGACTGATGGATGGATAGAGAGAGAGAGAGGGAGAGAGAGAGAGGCATAGACATTAAAATTTTAAACCCCAACCTGTAAAAAAGTATTTAGTTGCTTTATTTCAATTGGGCTTTACAGTCCACAAATTATTTTTCCATGAATGATATCATATGCTCCTGCAAATATTCTGTGAATAAGTCAGCAAAAACCATGTTAATTCCATTTTGCAAAATTTAAGCTAGCTAGACTCAAACTAACGTCTGAAAAACTTTGAAGATCAAGAAAGCATGAACATAAATGGTAGATATTTTTATTAAGGAAAATCCTCCCAATTATATATATCAGCATCATGTTTTCTCTGACTCCTAAAGGGAAATAAGTTTTAAGGAATCTAACAATGCATTTATTTCCTTTTTTTTTATATTTAACCCCTGTATAAGCAAACATTTTACCCTATGCCAGTAGTAGCCTCAGAAATATAGCATCCATTGATAGTAGATTTTTCCGATTGATTGTGGTAAATTTATTCTCATGACTGAGGATGCTAAATGTGATATTCTATGGATAAAATGAGCCCTCCAATTGACCAGAGTGGGAGATGCAAGGAGCAAGAAAGAAGGATAGGCTATTTTAGTCACTACCTTTTTTGACACAGTGCAAGCATCACTATCTTCAGAGCACTTGCTGCCATGCATAGTTTAGCTTCACCTGGAGCTAAGCACTTATTTTCTTTTTTCATGTTCAGTGTAGCTCTTAGTTCAACTAGACTATTTTTCCCCCTAGCAATAGGCATCGATGAGTTTCGTTACAGATTTTAAGCCACAGAAGTATACTTAGAATGCTTTCTTATTGAGACCACAAAAAAGAGAAATATTCACTTCCGTTAACAGATTCCTCCATAATGTACATGTAATCCAGTTGTGGCCATACTCTGTAGTTAGTCTTGGTCATTAGAGTTGGGACACAACACTCAGGCAAAATTCAGAGAAGCAGCCCATGCATTTTGTTCTCCTCAATTTGGCCACACTCTATAGCAACAACCCTCCTTAGCTTTTCTGTTTCAAAAGAGTTTTAACTAAAGTCCTTTTTCTATATCTAGACAATGGACAAGCAGATGGCACTGTTTCCAGCACATCTTAGCCAAGATTCTACTCTGAAAATACAGGCAGTTCTTGTTCAACAGCCCTGAAAAAGACATGGTATGGTTCATCTCACTTGATTTCATATCAGCTATGCTTTTCTGACTTAGAAGAACTTTGCAATAGGAGGTTTTTAAAATCATTTCTGGTAATAGCTGCCATCGAGTTTCAATGTTACATAGGGTTTTTAAAAATCTTTTATTTTTTAATATTTGTGGGTACACAGTAGGTGTATATGTTTATGGGGTATACAGATATTTTGATAAAAGCATACAATGTATAATAATCACATCATGGTAAGTGGGGTGTCCATCACCTCAAATATTTATCCTTTGTGTTACAAACAATCCAATTATATTCTTTTAGTTACTTTAAAATGTAAAATTAAATTATTATTGCCTATAGTCACCCTGTTGTGCTATCAAATACTAGATCTTATTCATTCTTTCTTTTTTTTTTTACTCATTAACCAGCGCCACTTTTTATATTCATTATGTACCATTCTACCACAAATCTGCTAAGTAAACAGTCATTATCTACTTTTCATTTCCTTCTAAACCTCATTATTTAGCTTAAGAAAGAATCTAGATTCTAATCCATGCCCTTAATCATTATGTGAACTCATAATTAGATTACAAATAATTATATTACAGTCATGTGTTGCTTAATACATTCTGAGAAATGCATTGTTAGGTGACTTTGTTATTGTGAAAACATCCTAGAGTGCATTTACAGAAACCTAGATGTATACATACCCTCCTGCACACCTAGGCTATATGGTATAGCCTCTTGTTCCTTGGCTACAAACCTGTATAGCATGTTACTGTACTGAATACTTTAGGCAATTATAATACAATGGTAAATATTCATGTATGTATACTTAGATATGCAAACACATCTAAACAGAAAAGGTACAGTAAAAATATGGTACTCGTATAGTGTACTTACCATGAATGGAGCTTGCAGGACTAGACGTTGCTCTAGGTGAGTCAGTGAGTGAGTGATGAGTGAATATGAAGGCCTAGAAAATTACTGTGCACTACTGAAGACTTTACAAACACTGTACACTTAGGCTACACTACATTTATCTTTAAATTTTTTTTCTTCAGCAATAAATTGAACGTAACTTACTCTAACATTTTATTTTAAGAATGTTTACATTTCTTTTAAATTTTTGAGTGTTGTAATAACACTTAGGTTAAAACACAAATTGTACACCTGTACACAAATATTTTTTTCTTTATGTCTTTATTCTTTAAGACACAAACACACACATTAGCCTAGGCCTGCACAGGGTTAGGGTCATCAGTATGACTGTCTTTCACCTCACACCTTGTCCCACTGGATGGCCTTCAGGAGCGATCACATGCATGGAGCCACTGTGTCCTATAACAATGCCTTCTTCTGGAATACCTCCTGAAGGACTTGCCTGAGTCTCTTTTACAGCATATATATATTTTTTTCAATAATAAAATATATATGTAGTTATATATTGCATATTAATAACATGTATTGTTATTTTAAGTTGTTATATATAGTATATTAACACAACTTAAAATAGCAACAAAAATTATAGTACAGCACATGTTAGGTGATAGGAATTTTGAAGCTCTATTATACCATTATAATCTTACATAACCACTGTTATATATGCAATCGGTAGTTGACCTAAACGACTTTATGCGGCATATGATTGTACTTTACAATCTTTAAAATGGGAGTGTAAGACAACAATTCATAAAGGCCAATACATCAAACTACTGGTTCTACTTTTATTTTTTGCACCCATAGTAGACATTATTAATTACATACTGTACTCTTTCCTTTTTTAGTAGTACTTAAAGGCACACAGCTCTTTCGACTGTCACTTTATGAATCTTAAAATGCTACATAAAATATGCAGGCATTCCCAGTACTTGGCTGTTTCAAAACTCCCTCATAGATCTCACATTCTAGGTTTCAAAGCATATCTGACCTGTAGATTTTCTACTGATTTAAATCCATTATTATATATTTGGCTATTTTTATCAAATACCATTCAGGTGTTAATTATTGTGATGGGTGCTTAGAATGCAAAAATCAGATAGTCCCTTGCCTCTGCGTATCTAAGTTTGACTGTCATTGGTTTAAACTACTTGTTTTCATCAAGATAGGAGCATGTTTAAATGTACTCTTCAGTTAAATTCATGTGAGGAGAAATGTCACTGGTTATCTGATTTTTAAAGCATATATTTGCCATTGAAAGATTTGTATGATGACAGGCATGAAGACACATCTGCTGCACCAACAGATATTCTTGGCTTCCCCTCTAACTTCAGTCACGACGGAAGTGGACACTTTTATGTCTGCTATGGCTACTGTCTTCCTGCTAATAATGGTTCACTGTGGCTTCATATCTTCATTTCCTCCTCTGAGTCTTGTCTGATGCAGCCAAGCCCTGCAAGACTCTGAAAGCATGCAGTGCAGAAGCATTAATCTTCCTAGGGGCATCTTTCCACCTACGATGAGTGGGCTAGGGGCGAGAGGGACAAAAGTTGTTGGATAAATGCCTCTGCATCCCATACTTCAGGTGAAAAATTCCAAGAGGTTCTGTATGGTTCTCAGAAAGCCATGATGTTATCAAGCCCTCATTCACTCTAGAATTAACCTCAGTAATAGATGCACTTTTGCTTGGCTTTTTCTGTTTTTCTGTTTCACTTTCCCACTCTCTTACTCCTAGTCCCTGGGATCACTTCCCAATTAAACATTCCACATTGCATCCAAGTCCTTGTCTCAAGCTCTGTGTTCAGGAGAACCAAGGTAATACAGTAAACGTCTTAGGTAGCTTTCAAAACACACCACCAAGTAACAGTGTTAAACTACTCTTACTCATTTCCAGAAACAGCATTTATAAAAAGTTTTATTCCTTCTTCCTCAGTTTGATCTCGACTTTGTTTCCTCCATATAGCTGAATTTTTGTAATGAAACAAATATTTATAGTTGTCAACACTTAATCTGGTATGGTGACTTTTAAACTGCTTTTATTTGCACATCATGATTCCTAAATAAAATGTAATATCAATGCCCCAAATTATGGGTTAAAAACATACATATATATGTGATATCTATATATATGATATGTATATTTATGATATATATATACACACACAGACATATATATGCGTATGTGTACATGGAGTTTCACAATGTATACATACACGCACACGCTCATATATATGTGTGTATGGAGTTTCACAATCATCCTCTTTCCACATTATCAATGGCAGAGAACGTTTTAAATTTTTGCTTAGTGTCTGTGTAAGTTCTCATTGTCCACTGATAGAAGGAAAGAAACTGTAGAAGAGTAGACAGGGCAGAGAAATTGACAGGGGCTGCTCTGTTTAGGCTGAGGTTGTAAAGAGTGATGTGCAATATGGCAAGAAATTGAATAAAGAAAATAATCCATAATAGTAACCGAGACATTGAAAGAAAATCATTGGTTAAAGGGAGAGGCCTCTGGTTGTTTGGGGCAGGTAATGAGAAGAAGAGGAATGTGGCTGTGAGTACTTTACTGAATGAATTTGGGGAAGGGATCCCTCCTCATGGGTTTCTCTTTAGGAAAATTCATCTGCATTCCAGGCTGGGACTTATATATCATAGCATTATACTGGTTATAGAGTCATCATATGGGTCATATATACCTCTGATTAAAAAGAGCCGCCTGTGTTTGTAGAGGCATCGGGACTCAACTACTCATGCCACACCAGCCTCATATGAATTTCTGCTCTTTATGGGCCTCTGGAACTCTTAAATCAACCAAAGTTGAGGATCATCAGAACATACTTTCTACATTAGGAAAATTGAGGGAGTTGAAATGGGCCAATGTTTGAAGCTATACAGTCTAGAGCAGAAGAAATGACTCTCCTAAGATGACATGGAGAGTTAAAAGATAAAGGGGTTACTGTATATGTATCCCAACTAAATAAAGTGGGCTTTTTTTCATCTTACACTAGCCTCACACAAAATCTTAAAAATTATCCCTAGAAATGTGAATATCTTTAAATTTCTTTAAAAGGACACAAGTATTGCTAGGGGTTTTTAACAAATCAATTTCATCTGTGAATTTATTCTTGTGGTCAGAGAGAACTGGTGGATTATTGCTGCCTGTTTTAATACTTTGGGGTTTGTTTTTTGTTTTGTTTTGTTTTTTGCTTCTATTTCCTCTAGGGAACTATGTGTTAAATAACAATCAATTGCACATACATACACACACATATGAGGGAAAAAGAAAAAAATAACTTTATATAGACAAGTAGTCTAATTACTTTAAATTTGGAGCACAATTCGAGGAGTTAGAGGTTATTACAGTTCGGCAGAAACTAGAAACTTAAGTATAAGAATAATTCAACTGTTGTTAAGAGCAATAAAACCATCACAGTTCTATGACCAGGTAGGAAGGATTTGCTTAAGGCCGAAACAAGAAAACTCTCAGATTTGAGAGTGGGAAAAATGAGGTAAAGTGACCCAAAGTTCTAGAAGCTGATGGATTTCAGGAAGCATCCGTGTGTCTCTCTGCCTCCTTCCCCATTCCCTCTGCCCACAGTCCTACTACAAACATTGGTCAATGTACAATAGAACTACATAGAATCCAAGCTCAAAGTAGTTATGACAATTTGATAACAAAACACTAAATTAGTTCACCTTTTTCTCTTTATTTAGCTTAAACTCAGAAACTCTCTGGGTAGCCAGAATGCCACAAATAGGGTCCTGAAATTCAATCCAAGATGAGCTCTTAGTAAAAAAATGTGCTGTTACCAAAGTTTGGCTATGGCTCATGAAAAGGCTGTCAAGATGGGGGTTATGCAAAACAGTTGGGGACAAGAGGCAGAAATCCTATTTGGGAGTGGGAGAGATTCTTGGTAGTGGTTCAAGCAGTAGGTGATAGAGATCCAGCCAGACATACACAATATTGGGTAGACAGCAAAGGTGAGCATACTATCAGAAGCCAATATGGTAAACAAAAAGAAACGCTTGTAAGCCATTTATTTATTGAGCTTGTATGCTTTCATTTTTCACCTACTGTATGTTGAGATCCTTCAGGGCAAAAGTCATGTGTAATCCACTCCCAAATTCCATTCTTAGGACCTGAAACATAGTAAATGTCCTATACATGTTTGATTGATAAGAATATCAAAGCATGTATGTATGGAACATAGGAAATTAATGAATGGTGGAGCTCCATAACTAAACAATCTTCAAACTCTCCCAGATTTTCTTCCTTATAGTATCTGCCAAGACTTTATGTTTTTAAAATGTTCAGCATTTGTTTTCCATAAAGATTATTCTACTCTTTAAATTTTAATGTAAAACATCCAACGAGTTATTTTTTTTTCAAAGAGTAAAAAGAAAATTAACATAGATTATACAACAGGGCAACCTAAAGAAAGTTAACAAATGGTCAAAGAGGTATTTTAAGGTTAAACAATAAAGTGAATAAAAAATTATGAAAGATGAATGATGGCAAATATTTATTAAAAAGTATAGTATTTTATGAAGGTATTCCAGGTTTGTAATTTATTATCTAACAGTGAATGCCAACTGTTGGAAAGAGGCCAAAGCATTTAGAATATAAAACACATTAAAATGATCTTCTTGTCTATCTTCTTTGATTATTTGGTATTTTTTTTAATCAGCTGTTTTCAATAATCCAAAGACTATTAAATACATTTAACAATACATGGAGGAGATGGCTTGGTGCAGTGACTTTGACACTTTATAAGACATCTTAACTTGTGAATGATAGCTTTTGTGGGCCTTATATCTTTCAGTTATAAATGAGGTTACACAATAGTTTTTCTTTGAAATACACAAAAATATTTAAATAAATATTCTTGTCTAGTGGCTGGAATACAATGAAAGCTTAATCACATTTTCCCACTGATCATCTTCTCTTTCCTATTCACCTTTGTGTGTGTGTGTGTGTGTGTGTGTGTGTGTGTATTCGAGAAGATGGTAGCATCAAGGAATTGATGTCCTGGAAAGTGAGTGGATAGAACTTTCAACAGCAGCACATGATCAGGACTGCCATTCAAAAGCAGATTTTCTCTTTTTTTTCTTTCCAACTTTTATTTTAGGTTCAAGAAGGTACATGTGCAGGTTTGTTTCAAGGGTAAATTGCGTGTCACAGGGATTTGCTGTACGTATTATTTCGTCACCCAGGTAATGAGCATAGTAACTGATAGGTAGTTTTTTTTTTTTTTTTTTTTTTTTTTTTTTTTGAGACGGAGTCTGGCTCTGTCCCCCAGGCTGGAGTGCAGTGGCGCGATCTCGGCTCACTGCAAGCTCCGCCTCTTTGTTTCACACCATTCTCCTGCCTCAGCCTCCCGAGTAGCTGGGACTACAGGCACCCGCCACCACGCCCGGCTGATTTTTTTGATTTTTAGTAGAGATGGGGTTTCACTGTGTTCGCCAGGTTGGTCTCGATCTCCGGACCTTGTGATCCGCCCGTCTAGGCCTCCCAGAGTGCTGGGATTACAGGCGTGAGGCACCGCGCCTGGCCACTGATAGGTAGTTTTTTGATCCTCATCTTCTTCCCACCCTTCACCCTCAAGTAGGTCCCAGTGCCTACTGTTCTTTTCTTTGTTCCCATGTATACTCAATATTTAGGTCCCCCATAAGTGAGAATATGTGGTATTTTGTTTTCTGTTCCAGCATTAATTCACTTAGAATAATTGGCCTCCGGCTACACCCATGTTGCTGCAAAGGATTTTATTCTTTTTCATGGCTGCATAGTATTCTGTGGAGTATGTGGAATACATGCAGGGCTAAACAGTGAAATTTTTGAGTCAGGGGCTCTTCACCACCATACAGTTGAAGTCATCATTATATAAAGGGCACACTCTGCTGCTGATCCCTCTGAATTCTAGTTCAGGAGAATAAAAGTTATATCAAATTAAGTCTTTACAATAATTTTTCAAGTTAAACAAGGTATTCTCATTTTACAGCTAAAGAAACTTATTTCAGGTAATACCTTTGAAAGCACAAGAGGCAACATAGTGAAATATGAATTCCATCATTACATCTAGTTGTTATGTAACCTTGATTATGTCAGTTCCACTCTCTGGGTTTTGTTACTTCCATCGGTAAATGGAAGAAAAATAAGATTTACATCTCAAAGTCTTCATCCTGATCTATCACTAAATGAGAGTATATATAGAGTAAGAACAAGAGTAAGAACACATGAAAAGGGAGAAAAGGAAGAAAGATAAACAAGTGATTCAAAATTAATAATTTTATCACCTTTAATTGATTATAACTCTTCCCTATTTAACAGCAATTTTAACATTGGAATTGTGTACACCAAATTCCTAACTCCATTTTTTTTCTTAAAGTAAATCCACAGATAGACTCTGGGGATCTTGTAAAGATCATATACAACACAAGTTTTCTTTTGCCCCCTGGTGAAAGCTTGCTTCATTCATGATCTTATTCTCAGCCTGCACCATTTATCTCAATGGCAACAACAACAAAAAAAAACACCCTGGGATTAGCCATAACCAGTAAATAGTCAGCTCCCACAGGCTTTTGGCAGTGCCACCTGGAAGTACAAATAATCACAGGCAGCCTGCTCCCTAGAGAAGGAGAACACGTCCTTGGGCAATGAGGTGAAAACGGGACGAAGGATGATGAGCACAGCATCTAGTCTCTTTCCCATTTCATTCCTCCTCTCTTCTAATGTAAAGCTGGGTTAAGGACATGTGACATCATTTAGAAATTAGTTTATAGTTAACATTATAAAATAAGTGCCAATACAATTTAATGTTCGCATTATTTCTATATCTTTAATTAATTCATTTATCCATTCATTCAAAACATATTTGCTGTGTACCTTCTTTGGGTCAAATTTGGTGACAGCCCTCAAAGACACATATATAAATATGGGTCCTGACCTCAAGAAGCTCATTACCATGGAAGGGGAAATAAACAAGTAAACACTCTATTTTTTTTTCAAAAAAAATATTATGTGCCTAATAAATTGTAAGCCGGCATTGTATTGCCTAATGAGGATTAGAGGCGCAACAGAGCCTCATGGAGCTTGAAGTATACATTTCGACGTTATGAAAGTATCACAGCGTGTTGCATATCAACAGGAGTCTATGCTGGTCTTCCACTAGTTTCCTTAATGTGTTAAACTCATTCTTACATCAGGGTGTTTGCGTTTGTTGCCCCTTCTATCAGGAACACTATTTCTCAGCTCTTAACAAGACAGGCTCTTGTTCATATTCAGGTCTCAATAACAACAGTACTTCAGAGAGGAGTTTCTGGCTACCTACGATAAAGCAAACTTCTGCCTCTTCCCTCAGTTATTCTATATCCTTTCTTTGTGTTATTGCTTTGAAAGCACTAGATATTTTTTAAACTCTCATGTTATTTATCAGCTTGTCTGTGTGTTTACTTGTCTATTTGAGAGTAGGCAATTTATCTTCTTGTTCAATAAAATGCCAATACATTTAGTAATATACATTAAGGTTTCTCCATGACTTTTCATGGCTTGTTATCTCATTTCTTTTTAGTGCTGAATAAAATTCCATTGTATGAATGTACCCCCATTTATTTGAGGTGATTACCTTTAAAAAACTTTTCAAAAATCAAGATATAGTGTACATAACCATAAATGTACCACTCTGGTGTGGGATGCTGATGGTGAGGAAAGCTTCAGTGTGGAGGGGAGAGGGTATATGAGAGCTCTGTACTTTCTGCTGAATTTTGCTGTAAGTCTAAAACTGTTCTATAAACGAAGGTCTATTTTTTAAAAAAAAGCCAAAAATAAACCACCAATGCAATATATAGAATGGTGATTGGCATATAATGAATTTCCTTTAAATATTTCTTTTTGTTGTCGTTGTTGAGACAGGATCTTGCTTTGTTGCCCAGGTTGGAGTTCAGTGGTGCAAACACAGCTCACTGCAGCCTCAAATTCCTGAGCTCAAGTGATCCTCCTGCCTCAGTGTCCCAAAGTGCTGAAAATACAGGCATGAACCACTATAGCTGGCTGCCTTAAAATATTTATTGATTGAATGAATGGCTGAATAAATACATGGTGCAATGAGGACATGGAAAAGGAGCATCTTCTCCTGATTCTAAAGGAAAGGAAGGCTTCATGTAAAAGGAATTGAGTGATCTGCTGTGAACAAAGGAATTGCATTAAAATAGACATTGGACAAAAGAGAGATATTTCCAGGCAGAAGGAGCACAGTGTTCAAAGGCACAGACTCAGGTGGGAGAGTATTAGACCTTTCAGGAGCTGCAGGTGTGTCAGGCATGCCAGGAGTTGTGTGTGCATGTTTGGAAGTGACAAAGGAAGAGCCTGAATCAGAGTCAGTGGAACACCATCACCACACTGATTTGCTAAGAAGCTTGGACTTTATCCTGCAACGAGCAGGATGACTTTGAGTCATTTTAAGCAAGATAGCACAAACATAAGTATGCATTTCACAAGAATTAATTTGGTGGTAGGTTGGAAGAAGATAAATATGAAAGCAGAAAAGTTGGTTTCTCATTTCTTTAAAGAGTCCAAGCAGGCAAAACTGAGAAAAAGAAATAAATCTCTGGAATGGTGAATACAAGAAGAATATAGATTTACACATGGAATATTATGCAGCCATAAAAAAGGATGAGTTCATGTCCTTTGTAGGGACGTGGATGAAGCTGGAAACCATCATTCTCTGCAAACTATCACAAGGACAAAAAACCAAACACTGCATGTTCTCACTCATAGGTGGGAATTGAACAATGAGAACACTTGGACACAGGAAAGGAAACATCACACACCTCGGCCTGTTGTGGGGTTGGGGGAGAGGGGAGGGATAGCATTAGGAGATATACCTAATGTAAATGATGAGTTAACGGGTGCAGCAAAACAACATGGCACATATATACATATGGAACAAACCTGCACGTTGTACATATGTACCGTAGAACTTAAAGTATAATAAGATAAAATAAAATAAAAAAGAGTTATTAAGAATGTAGAAATAATGACGAATGTTAACAAATGGATTGTGGGAGTGAGAGAGAATAACAATGACCAGGATTCTACCTTGAGTATCTGTGTAGTTGGTGGGGTATAAAAGATTACTAAGAATTTTGAATAAATGAAGGAAAGTGTGCTGCAACTGAGGAAATGAAATAATCTTTTAGGAACTTGTCTTCACAGCAGCCTTAGTACATTAAAAAGAAGCTAACTAGCCCACATTATCAAACCAGGCACTCCAGAGAGCTGATGGTTGAAACTGAGTATTTGGAGGAACTAGCATGAATGTCATAATTCAGTTTACCTATCCAAGAGCAAAATAGATTGTGTGGATACTGTAAGTTTCAAACTATTCTTTAAGTATGGCAGAACATTCATATGTTCTAAGGATTTTCTAAGAATTCTATAAAGTTAATTAATCACTATTTCTGGGGCATTCTGTTGGCTGGTCAATTTATCTCTGATTCTGAAAGTCAGTAACAAAGTAGAAATTTTATCAACATATCTATAATGACCATCTGGAGAATGTATTGAATATGCTATTTATACTTATCACTGTAAACTGCAAAGGCAACGGCGACAGGCAAGGCCGGGCATCGTGGCTCACGCCTGTAATCCCAGCACTTTGGGAGGCTGAGGCATGTGGATCACAAGGTCAGGAGTTGGAGACCAGCCTGGCCAATATGGTGAAACCCCGTCTCTACTAAAAATACAAAAATTAGCTGGGCATGGTGGTGGGTGCGTGTAGTCCCAGCTACTTGGGAGGCTGAGGCAGGAGAATCGCTTGAACCTGGAAGGCAGAGGTTGCGGTGAGCCAAGATCGCGCCATTGCGCTCTAGCCTGGGCGATGGAGCGAGACTCCGTCTCAAAAAAAAAAAAAAAAAAAAAAAAAGCAATGGCAACAGGCAAACCTGGGTTTGAATCGTGGGTTTCTGTTTGCCAGTAGATGTGACTGCTCGGACACATTTCTTACCTCCTCTGAGCATATTGTCTACATTTCAGAATAAGCATAATGAATAAACAAGGTTGCTCTGAGGATCCATGATAACAGATACAGGCCCTGATGCACAGCAAGATAGTCAATAATGATGCTCTTTAAATATCAGGACTACAAGGATGTCATTATGCAGCTAAACCCCAAATTTACCTTGGAATAATAAAGTCAGCTCTTCTGGCTTTTAGCAATAGCAGAGGATTACATTTCTACTCCAGCTCTATTCATCATGAGGGGGCCCTTTTCCTTTTGCAAAGAGAATGCCAGAACGAAAGGGCTGGAATGAGTTTTGTTTTCCTATTTCTGTGCCATACGAATGGTGTAATGTTATCAGCTGAGATAATACTGCCTGTAAATAGCTCTGAGTGAATTTGGTTGGCAAAATCGCAGGAAAAGATTGACAGGATCTTAAACAGCAGTAGTCAGGGAGGCTGTAGCTGGAGTATTGACAGAGAGTGATTTCGTGAGTAATGAAGAGCGTTATATGATTAAGTTTCCCGAAGCGTGCAGTGCCTGCCGTGTGTACTTGCTGCCGATCGCCACCTTCTGCGTTGCAGGACCAGCCTCACTGCTTTTCAGGCAGGATCAATAGGATTGGAGGATTTGCACTGAGAGCTTGCCTGTGGCTTCTTGTTAAGGGTGTAGGGTGCCTTACAGCTTTCCTCCCTGGCGTTTTGCACCATCCCGTGTATTAATCGTATAAAAAGCTGTCCCCTGGTTCTATTTTATGACTATTTTCTCTTAACGCTTTTTTCCCCCAAACCTCAGATTTGTTTGTTTTTAACAATAGATTTGTAAAAATAAGCTAATGCCCAAGACAGCATTCAATCTGGCCAAACCCTACACATTCTCTAAGGTGTAGCTCGTGAGGCTTACTTAGGATAATACACTGTGTGTACTCTTAGGTCTAGTACAATTGCCGTTTTGTAAATCATCTACCTATACTTGTTTCCCCCAGAGATTTTTAGCTTCTCCAGGACAGAAATGTTATTTTATTAATCTTTGTAAATCCTGTACCTGATTATATATGTTTGTGTATTTATATATAATTATATATATGATTATGTATATATTCCAGAGTATATGTTAAATGAGAATTTGGAATTTGCTGATTTTCTGCTGTGTGCTAAAGTCTAAATGCAATTAGCTTAATTTATTCATTTGTAAAACAAGAATCATCTCAATACCAAACCCATGAGGTTGTTGGGAAGATTAAGTAAGCTTCAGAGAGACTTAAGAACATGAGCCAATGACAAAGGTAGTAAGCAGTAGGGCCATTATTCAAATACGGGTCTGTCTGAATTAAAAGCCTGTACAATGAAACATTTTCTTCCACTCTTTTCTGAAAATAACAGAAATTCCATAAGTCCATAAGTTAGGTATATTACTTGCATGAAAATTATGAAAAAAGGATGTGTGTCTGTGTGCGTGTGTGTTCTTTTTAAAATATTTTAGTAAGTTCCCACTGCTTTCCTCTGAGACCTCATTTGCCACGTCTAAATTAGATAAATGGTCACTGTTTTGTGTACTTATAAAGCCAAATGACTTGTCCAATGTCCAATGAACAAAACCACACAAGGCACTTCAAGAGAAGGAGGGTAAGTCGGAATCACTCCTATCCCTCCATAACACTCCTCTTATATCTAGGAAAATGCCTTCTTCATCTAAACATGACACTATTGGCAACCAGGATTGTGTGTCAAAGTCAAAAATCATGTTCCCCTCCTTTCTTGCCTGTCTCAGCTATTAATATTTCTTATGTTTAAATGTGATAGGCCTGGCTGATTATTTTCACAGCATCACCTCCCCAGATAGTTTAAATGCTGCATCCCAGCTGTCTCTGCTTGCTTTGAGGGCTTGCTGAGCCTTCCACTGTCTTCTTTTTTTTTTTTTTTTTTTTTGAGACGGAGTCTCGCTGTGTCTCCCAGGTTGGAGTGCAGTGGCACGATCTCCGCTCACTGCAAGCTCCGCCTCCCAGGTTCATGCCATTCTCCTGCCTCAGCCTCCCAAGTAGCTGGGACTACAGGCGCCCGCCAACACGCCCGGCTAATTTTTTGTATTTTTAGTAGAAACGGGGTTTCACTGTGTTAGCCAAGATGGTCTCGATCTCCTGACCTCGTGATCCGCCCGTCTCGGCCTCCCAAAGTGCTAGGATTACAGGCGGGAGCCACCGCGCCCGGCCCTCCACTGTCTTCTTAAGTGCCTGGCAGGTAATCACAGGTAGAGGGAGACTGAAATTATTTTTTAAACTCGTACACCTGTACTAAGTTATCTTAAAACTTCAGTGTCAGGAGGGGAGAAAAATACATTTAAGCATTTATTATCCAGCACACAACTCTTATTACACAACCCCATCTATTTTATGTTTTGAATTTCCTACACTTGTTTCAAGCATGAGTGTCTACACTGCTCTGACCGCTAATTGAGTCAGAATGATCACTTAATTAACAATAGCCAACAATTACTGAGACAGATTAAATGAATTTCACAAGCAAATTCCCCTTATCAATAGTATGTGTTTAAAATAAACACGTAAATGAGCCCATATCCCATGAAATTATGTTGGTCTAATGAAACAATAGCTGTCATGACAATTCTATAATATCCAAATGAGTGTGTAAACAAGTTTCAGTGTTGTTATTTTGCAAACTATACAGCCCATATTTAACTTATAGAAAAATTTAGAAAACAACATTTGCCATGATGTAGTCTGTGTATTCATTTCTGTACCTTCAAGGAAAGATCTCTAAACGCATAATATTTGCATGTAATATTTGTTTGTATGTATGCATATTTGAATATTTGGGTTTTTATGGGGCTGACAAGTAATAAATAATACCTAATATATAAATAAAAAGATAAAGAATGCGAAATCAATACAAATGTATGGTAGTATGGGAGGTATTCCTACCCGATGAGGTAATATTTGAGCAGATATCTGAGTGAATTGAGGGATGTGGGCATTGGAGCTATTTGGAGAAATGTTCCCCATGACAAAAAGCATAAATAAGGGGATGGATATTTATGGGAGAGAGGGAAAGACAGAGAGAGAGAGAAAAAGAGAGAGAGAGAGAGAGAAACTGACATGAAGCTCTTTAATTTTCTCTGATTTGTTATTTAAGATAATAGAATTTCCATTTAGTATGGGAAGAAAAGTCTCTTATTCTTTTTTTGTTTTATTTTTTATTTTTTTTTTTTTGAGACAGAGTTTGGTCTTGTTGCCCAGGCTGGAGTGCAGTGGCTTGATCTCGGCTCACTGCAACCTTCACCTCCCGGGTTTAAGCGATTCTCCTGCCTCAGCCTCCCGTGTAGCTGGGATTACCGGCATGTGCCATCATGTCTGCTAATTTTGTATTTTTAGTAGATATGGGGTCTCACCATGTTGCCGAGGCTGGTCTCGAACTGCTGACCTCAGGTGACCCACACACCTCGGCCTCCCAATGTGTTGGGATTGCAGGCATGAGCCACCATGCCTGGCCTTATTCTTTAGAAGTGTATGTAATTACTTGATTTTTTCCCCTCCCATCCTCTCCTCCTCCCATGACATAGAAACATAACAAGCATTACTCTGTGGTACTTTAGGGCTGGTAGGTTTAACCAAATGAGAAGACATTGGTTGGTCTCTGATAGAGTAGGACTGTGGCTAGAACTAAGTCTGAGTCTATTCCTGAAGGGGCCCAGGCAAATGAAAATACTGAAATCTGCCAGAGGTCATGAACAAAGACCCAGGTAGACTGAAGATTCATGTTGAATTATCACTTCAGCTTCTTCTGTAGAGTTGCATAGAATGCATGATATCTATTATTTTCAAGACTGTTGATCATCCACTCCACTGGGTCAAATAATATTTCTCCAAAGTTCATGTCCTTCCAAGAACCTTAGCATGTTACCTTATTTAGAAATAAGGCAGTTGCAGATGTAGTTAGTTAATATGAGGTCACACTGGAATAGGATGGGACTTTAATCCAATATGACTGGTGTCCTTATAAGAAAAGGAGAAGACACAGAAACACAGGCACACACGTGGCTGTGGAGGCAGAGATTGGAGTTATGCGAGCCAAGGTACCCTAAGAACTGCCTGTAACCAGTAGAAGTCAGGAGAGAGACATGAAAGAAATTCTCTCCTTAAGACTTCGGGAAGGAACAACCTTTCTGATACCATGAAATAGAACTTCTTTTATCCTAAACTATGAAAGAATACGCTTCTGTTTTATTAAGCCACTGAAATGTGTGGTACTTTGTTACAACTGCACTAGATAACTAATATATCAACTACCTGCCAGGTCTTAGACTAGCTGTTTTCCCTGGGATTATTACCTCATTTGATCTTTTGCCCCCACACAGATTCAAGGAGCATGAAGTGATATATTCATATGTCATTTATGTAACAAATACGAGACAGCTACTATGGCCTTAGCACCTAGCTGTGTGTTAGAAATAGAGGTGTAAATGAGAGGCAGGAGGTACTGCCCTTAGGGAGATCGATTATACAGTAATGTTTACCCATTCTTGTTAGATATTGTAGACTGTTTTCAGCCTTGGAATTTAGAAATGCATATGACAAGAAAGAGATTGGGTCAAGTGTGGTGGCTCATGCCTGTAATGTGTAATGCCAGCACTTAGGGAGGCCGAGACAGATAGATCAATTAAGGTCAGTGTTCGAGACTAGCCTAGCCATCAGAGTGAAATTCCGTCTCTATTAAAAATACAAAAATTATTCTGGTGTGGTGGCAGGTGCCTATAATTTCCAGCTAATCTGGAGGCTGAGGCAGGATAATTGCTTGAGCCAGGGAGGTGGAGGTTGCAGTGAGTCAAGATCGTGACACTGCACTCCAGCCTGGGTGACAGAGTGAGATCAGTCTCAAAAAAAAAAAAAAAAAGAAATTCACAAGAATTAATAAAGCCATACTGAAGTATGAAATCATAGAGAGTTTAATAGTTTTCTATACAATTAGATATGCATAATTGAACATAATAAACCATAAACAAAGCATTATTCCAGGTGTTGTAATTTTTTTCTCATGCATGTATGAAGGTTTTTTTCGTTTTTTGTTTTTTTGTTTTTTTTTGAGACCGAGTCTCGCTCTGTAGCCCAGGCTGGCGTGCAGCGGTGCAATCTCGGCTCACTGCAAGTTCTGCCTCCCGGGTTCATGCCATTCTCCTGCCTCAGCCTCCTGAGTAGCTGGAACTACAGGCACCTGCCACCATGCTTGGCTAATTTTTTTTTTTTTTTTTTTTTGTATTTTTAGTAGAGACGGAGTTTCACTGTGTTAGCCAGGATGGTCTCGATTTCCTGACCTCGTGATCTGCCTGCCTCGGCCTCCCAAAGTGCTGGGATTACAGGCATGAGCCACCGCGCCTGGCCATGTATGAGTTTTAAAAGTAAAAGAAAGGCATCAGGCCTGAATCGACCTACGTGTACATGGAAAAATGACCTTGGGTCTATCTTCTCACAGTATAGTTTCCTTGGAACCTGCAAAGTTAAGATGAATGTAGAATCATGCATTTCACTTTTTAAATGTGAAATCACGCATCACTGTTTATTGTGAATCCCTTGTGTTTTAGACGACATCTGTAACGGGGGAGCTGTGAGTTGACCTGCAGGTCCTGGGCATGCATGACTAGAGATACAAAAGATGGGCAGGATACTGAGACTGTAGCTTCTTGGTGTCAATGTGATTCACATGCACTTAGACTATATAGTCTGTGGGAGCCATACATCTCCTATGTAGATAAAAGAGTAAGAAAGCTATATATATGGATATCTGCTGGGTGTCTCAATGGGGATTAAGTGCAGCACATGTTTGATTTCCTGTCCTATGTCATCCTAATATCTAATGTAAAAGATTAAGTGTCTATAATTAGATTTTTTGAGACGGAGTCTCGCTCTGTCGTCCAGGCTGGAGTGCAGTGGCGCGATCTCGGCTTTTATTTGATCAGACACAATCAGGGATACATTCCTGTATTTGTTCTGCAGACTTCTAATCTCATATGCTTTTCCTTTCTCAACATTCCAACTTCTGGTCCTTTAACCACTCCTAAAAATAATTCTCATTTTCAGTCTAACTGTCCTTTGAGCCCTGAGTTCCATAGCATCTCTCCTCCTGACCTCATTATCACTGTAGTAAGGTTGGGCCTATAGAACAAGCTTTTGGTGAATTGACTACCAAGATTACCATAGTTGCAAACTTCATGTGGGGAAGAAAAATTACAACATCAAATTCTATTTCCGTAAGCTAACAAGGTGCTGAAAAGTTTTGAGTTGCCTCAGTTACCCTTTCCCCATGAATAGCACTACATTTTTCTTTAAGGGCTGCCCCTCTGTGGCACACCATCATGTGGTTAGGAAGGGACCAACTTACAGTGTAGCTCAGTTGGCATAGCCTAGTCCCTGTTTATAGTGATGGATTCCACAGTGAGCACATGGTCCAATTTGGAACATTATTACATGAGATAACGTTTGCTGTTGCTTTAGAAATAGAAGTTTCTTCTCTCTTTTGGAGATACTGGAAAAGATAGCGTTGCTCACTCGGAAACTGGAGTATGGAAACACAAAGTCAGAAATTACGTTTCTATTATTGTCACCATGAAATCATATTACGGATGAAAGCAAAGAAAGATTTGCAAAGAAAGAAATCCGGAGGCCGGTGCGGTGGCTCATGCCTGTAATCCCAACAATTTGGGAGGAAGAGGCAGGTGGATCACCTGAGGTCAGGAGTTCAAGACCAGCCTGGCCAATGTGGCAAAACCCCATCTCTATTAAAAGTACAAAAATTAGATGGGTGTGATGGCACGCCTGTAATCCCAGCTACTTGGGAGGCTGAAGCAGGAGAATCATTTGAGCCCGGGAAGTGGAGGTTGCAGTGAGCCGAGATCGCACCACTACACTCCAGCCTGGGCGACAGAGCAGGACTCCATCTCAAAACAAACAAACAAACAAACAAACAAACAAACAAGAAATTGGGAGACTGGAAATTTTGGCTCAGTTATATAAGCCAAAGAATCCCTTTGCTTAATTATTTATTTGTTTAATTGAGTTTGAGTTACAAATCTTTTGTTAATAAATGGCATAAGCTCTGAAGAGTTAAGCAAGAAACGAAAACTTTATTTATACCTTCTAATTCTGGCTCTCTAAGGTCAGTCAGCTAGATCTCATGTCCAAATATCATTGTTAAGTACTTCCTGTAGTTTTGTCTGAAAAACACAATCCTGAATAAGCTCTTTACGTTTTCGGACTTTTGCCAATGGCTGTTCCACAAAGCTACACAAATCTGATTGTGTATTTTATTTCATCGTCTCTAAACATCTCTTCATATATTTTGCTTTCTGACATATGTTTTGGTCAACTTCAATAAGCATATTTTATTACCCACATCTCCATGTGGCTCCATCCAAACAAACTTAATGTATCTAGAATTTATGAACACGTTTTATATTCTTAATGGATGAATATGAGGTTAGAATATAACTTACTGTTAATATCTGTGAAAATATCTGGATGAGAAAGTAGTTTACATTTTTATATGTTTCATAATTTATTTTTAAATAAATATGGAACAAAAATAACATGAAAATTCCATGTACCTATTGACAAGTGTAATAGATGATAACATTTTGCTGGGACTTTTTGTTAGTTCTTATTGATTCTCATATTACAAGTATTACCTCTAGGTTTTCTTTTCATTTTCCTGAAGTAACCCTTTTAGTATTTCCTTCAACAAAGATATATGAATGTTAAACTTTTCATTCACTGCCTAAAAAATATGTCACCCTTGCATAATAGTTTACCTGGGTAAAGAATTTCATGTAGGTGGTTAGTTTTGCTGTTAACTCTGAAAGTAACAGTCTGTTATGTTTCTTTATTGAGAAGACAACTGTTATTTATAATTGTTGAACATTTTTCTCAGGTAATCTTAAAAGCAACCAGAAAGAAAGGATATATATTCCCCTTATCTCTGATATCTTGTAGTTTTACTATGATATGCCTTGTGATTTTTTTTTTAATTCTGACTGGGATCTACAGTGATTCTACACCTGAAGATTCATATATTTCATTATTACTGAAAATTGTGAGCTATTATATTTGGATAATTCCTTTTATACCATTCTCTCTATTCACCCATTATGGAATTCCATTTTACTTGTAATGCTGTATGCTTTCATTCTCTCCTCTATTTCTTTTAACAATACTTTTAATCTTCTTTTCCTTTTATTTCACTGTGACATATTGAGTATAATTTACTTGAATATATATCCTGCTTTACTATTGTTCTGTTCAGCTGGGCCTGTTCTGTGATTTATTTTTGTGCATTTAATCTTTACTTTCAATAGCTTATTTGTCTCTTTCTTTGGTAGAATCATTTTCCATATTCTATGATTTTTATTCCTAAATTTAAGTTATACATACTATTTGATAAACTTTTATGTTAAGGATAGTTCTATTATGTGATATTCTTGAGATTCTAATTCTCCGACATGCTATTTCCATTTATTCTCATTGCTGGCAGATGGTTATCTCATTTGTTTTGCAATGGGAGATGGTGTGCTCAGAGACACAGGGCTTTTTTTTTTTTTTTTAATGGGAACAACCCAACTTTGTTTGCAGGAGTGAACTTCAAGTGAAGTTTACTTGTGCTTTGTCAGGCATCCTAAAATTATCACCAGCCCAAGACCAAGCTTTATGATAATTTCTTAACTTCTGCATCCCAGAATCTATGAGTAGTACACAGCCTGTGTGAAAGATGGGCTACTCTGTTTCTGACATGAGGTTTGTGTGTGTATGCTTCTGCATGTGTGTTTTCCTAGAGCCCAATAGAAACAGATGAGGTGCCTTGCCATCTTTCTCTACGTTAGGTGGAATTTTTCCTTTCACTAATAAAGCAATTGAATGATTTCAATGTTATGTATAAAGGTTTAGTTACAATTTCTTCAAACTTTCCAGCTCAAGACATTGTCTTTTTCTTTTCTTTTCCTTTTTATTTTTCATATTGATAGCCCACTCCAAGGGTAGCTGTAATGCTAATTCATGAGGGTAATACATTTCTTCAAGTTCCGTTTTTACTTCTTACCTCCTGAGGATTTAATTTCCTATTGAACTCAGCTATGCATTCATATTTTTTATTGTTGTTACATATCATCTACCATGGCTAAAGATTTATTTCTGGAGTGATTTAGGTTAACTTAGTCTGCCATCCTGCCAGATTCCTGTGCTATTCATTTGACATATTATTTTTCATTTAATCCTCTGAAAAGTCGTGTGAGATGGGTAAATTGTCTCCACTTAAAGCCGCAACGTTTTAATCTGCAGATAAATGTGGCATCATATTCTAAATTTTACAACTAGAAAGTGGCAAATTTGGGATTGGTGCGCTAATCCAGCAGACTACATTGTTCAGGTTTTTATTCATACATCAACAGGTTTCCCACTGCAATGAACTAGAATCATAGGCACAGATTATTAGGTTATAAACCTGGCAATTTTTATGGGTCTTTCCAATATTATACTGAACAAATGATAATATCAATGCCCAGTGAGAAGAAATTATTTGCCCCATGTCCAAAATCTATTAATTTTAAAACCCTGAAATGAATAGGTTTCTTCTTTCTTTCAAATGCTGGCATTTTTCTCCACCTCATCTTGTTTGCAGTTGACAAAGTACAGATGCTATGAAATACAATTCAGATACCAGAGATTTATGCCATCTACCTTTACATTCTCATGAGCAAGATTGAAAGGCATAGTCACAACCTCCCTAAGTGCATGTTTCAGCTCTCAGATGTCAACACTTGAAGCTCCCAACAAACAAGAAGAAGAAATTGTAGGCAAGAGGTGTCTTTTCTTGAAAAGGTCCCATTGTGTGTCAGTCCTAAAGACCTTAAAAATGATATCTACAGATGTGGTTAGAAATATCAACAGAAGAGACTGGTGCTGTAGAAATGGAAAATAATAGTTTATACACAATACACAACCTCACAGTGTATGACTCAGAGTTTTCTGAGTAAAACAAATGTGTTTTCACTTCTCTATGGGTGGGGCCGTTATTCATGGTGAACATAGAGAGTCTTAATAACAGTTTATGAACAAAGAGGGAACAATATCTAAACTGGTAAGCTAAAGCTTTGGTAAAATAATGCAGTCAAATGCAATGTTTCTTAAAAATCGCAACTACATTAATAATAATGTTCATGAGAATTCTATTCACTTTATTAAGGTTGTGGTGGTATGGAAATTAGAGAAATTGCAGCCATGTCACTCAATCCTTGAAATAATTCAAACAGAGATCACAGCACAGATTGATATCTTCATTTTTCAGATGAAGAAATGAGGTTCATAGAGGTTAGCATCATCTCGTATAGATATAGACTGAGCCAGGCTTGGAACTGGCACCTGCACCAGGCCAAGACTTCTGACTGCCTGGTGCACAAATTGATCCCCAATTCATGTCTGCTGTGTTTCAATAGGCTCACAGGAGCTCTCACTTACATCTACAAGATCACACACACACACACACACACACACACACACACACACTGTTCATTCATTCATTATTTTATTCACTCAATAAATGTTGAATTCCTACTATTTGTCAGATTGCTAGGTAATTTACATATATTTAACACATATACATTTATTCCATCCTTACCACTACTCTGACAGTTACTATTAATATACATACTTTACTTAGGAGAAAACAGGAGTCACAGGGTCCTAAGTTTGCGTCACAGCTAAAACAGGCAGTGGGGATTCAAGACTATGCCATGGAAATATATACATTTTGAAATGCACCCTCCTTGTGGGGAAATTGTGTGGATTAAATGGTATAATGCATGTTTAAGCTTGTTGTTATCACCGCATTATATTCCTAATGTAGCTTCTGGAGCTCATGTCCCCACACAGGCTGGTGCATACTCAAAGTAAATCCATGTTCCCAAATATTCTATTAGCGGCCTCACATAAATATACCGTGCTTAAACTAAAACAGCATTTGCCTTCAAGGAGCTTACCCTATAGTGAAGGTGACAGAGAAGTACATGGATATTACAAGGACAGGAACACAGCAAGTCAGTGGCTATGCTTTATTTCTTCCTGATTCTATATGTCCTCAGCCACTGTGCCCTGATCTGCTACATAGCAGTCAATAAATATTTGTAAATGATTGAATGGATAAATGAGTTGCATTCTGATCAAATGTGGATTTTCTTACATCTTGAAATTTGTAAGATTCTTTTACTAATAGATTCCATGATCTTAAGTAAACCATATTTTATCTTCATTCATAAAATGAGGTTTTGAAATAGATGGTTTTGAATACCTTGTACAGTTTTGACTTTTTAAGTTTCCTTTGGTCCTTAAATTCTGTGCTTCAGAAATATCAGCCCTTTTTTCAATTCCTCAAATATGCAAACTCTATCTCACACAAAGAGTTCTCTTTGCCTGAATATTCTTCCCCCCTTTTATAAAGAAGCCATCTATATTAACTTCCTATTATTGTTTTAACAAATTACCACAAACCTGATGGCTTAAAATGGGATACATTTGTTATCTTACATTTCTGGAGGTCAGAAGTACCAGACATCTAAGGAATGGCAGGGCCATATCCTTTCCGGAGCCCCTGGAGAAGAATTTTTTTCTTGACTTCTCAGCCTCCAGAGGCTCCCTACATTCCTTGGCTCATGGTCCTTCTCCTTCCTGAGTACCAGCAGTCACATCATTGTGCTTCCCTCATCACATGGCTTTATCCACGTCTGCTTCTAGCATCACACTACCTTCTCTCCCTCTGCTTTTATTGCCCCATTGCTGTCTCTGACTTTGATCCCCCTCACTATTCTTGTTAGAAACCTTGTGATTACATTAGACCCATCTTGCTAATCCAGGAACATTCCACCATCCCAAACTCCTTATCTTAATCACATTAGCAAAGTCCTCTTTGTCAAGTCTGTAATGTATTTATAGGTTCTAGGGATCAGTATGTGACCACACGGAGGGACTGTTATTCCGTAAACCATACTATCCTTAACCCCCTTCTCCATATTAACTCCTGCCCACCTTTCAGATCTCAGCCAAAGTGTTACTTTCTGGAGGAGGCTGTCCTTAACCACTAGTGTCAAATGGGTATTATTGGCATATGTTCTCATAGAACCACCTTTCTCTCATCTATAGCACTGCTATTAGTTTTTTATACATTGAGAATCAGAGAATGTGTTCAGTTTTACTTACCCTACATCCTAAAGATACTCAATAAGTATTCCTTCTGTGAATGAGTGAACCATTAACAACTATATTCCTTATATTCCTTTTTTTTTTAGGAAGGACTTATAATTTTTGAGAAGGGTCTCCAAAGCAAAGGTGAGAGGTCAGGTTTTAATAGTACCAAAGTATCAATAGTACCAAAGAACTATTCATAAGCCGTTATCAAGTTATAGATCAATAACTTATTTTGATCAACACATGTTATTAAAATATGTAGTTGTTTCCTACATTTTCATAAAAAGCATATTAATCAAGAATCCATTAAACATATTATTCTTCCTCTAAAACTTGAACTTGCCCTCCCTATAGACAAAAATGCGTTTAATGAAATAAATACAGCCTCTAGCTATGGTGTGTAGGTCTAGAACATTAAAAATGCACACTATTCTATTGTAGCTTTTAAAAAACATACAGCTGCTTTTTACTTCTAGTTGTCCTTCTCTTTTTCCTTGTATGTGATGATGGCTGCAGCAAGTTGGAAAACAGATTCCTGTAGCATTTTGCATTATTTAGTGTGAATTTACATACTGTTCTGTTTTAAGTGCTTCACAAGTGTCCTATAAATACAGAGAATTATTTGACTGTCTAGGCAGAGAGGAAAAGCAAGTTTGGAAAAGGAATTTGCAGGAAGATTCAACGTGTCCTCTGGACAATTCTGAATTCTATTGTCTCTGCATTGATTGGAAAGTTTTATGGATTAAAACTGTGCATCATACAGCTGTTTTATAAATATTCAGGATTTTATATAATATTTATATTGAGATATTTACATAGATAGATATAGATACAGTCAACCCTCCCTTGCAGCTTTATATTTAGTATTTTGTGATTATGTTAAATTATATTATGAAACAACCTATATGGAAATTATCTTCCAAAAGTAACCCATGGAAAAGAAGGAGGTAAACATAATCAAGATATTTTGGGATAAATGCAGAAAAGCAAAATAATATTAGATTATAGATGGCTTTAAATGCCATTAGTAAAGTAATTGACTATTTTATAAAGAAAATCAGGTTATATTGATGAATTTTTAGGTAGGGAATGGCCAAAAAAAGAGTTGAGTTTTAGAAAGATAAGCATAATTGGCAGTGGATTGGGGGAAACCATTCAGGAAGCTATTACAAGCATGCAAGCCAGATATTAGTAACAGCTTTTTTAATTAGTGGCAATAGGATGGAGAGGAGAAAGTAACACTTGAGATGTTTTGGGGAAAAAAAAATTTTGCTTTTATGTAAAAGAAAACTCATCACTTTAATCCAAAGAGAACAAATTTTAAAAATTTACTAAGAATTAGTTATTCTGGACCAATTAATTTTAAAGATAATGAAGATATATCTGGAAAATCACTGTTTAGTATGAGGTCAAGAATAGAAAGTAAAATATTTCTGGTATTTAGCAATGAAGATAATATCTTGCCACCATATTCAAGGTACAACATTATGTATAATATCACCCTAGTCCCAAACCCCTCTCTTTGTCTTGATGCCCTAAAGCTTCCCTTGTTCTGTCCATGGCTGAGCATAAAGGCTGATGCCTGCTTTACATAACGTGGCAGATGGAGTTGTCTTCTTACTCTGTACCAAGATAAGATGATCAGCTCTATGTCTAATTCATAAAGCAAATATTTAATAAAATGTATATTTTATTCAACTCAAGCCCAAGACTTAGCTCAGACTTTGTCCAGAAGAATTCTCCATCAGAGAATGAAGCCAGACCCAGAAGGACAGGCACTGGCCATCTGACAGTGATGTGTGCTGGAAAGATAGGAATGAATCCCTCACTCACCTTTGATTCCATGACACAGTATTTGTACTTTTGAAAGGAACCACTGATTTCTTTCCAAAATCTAACTCCTTCATCATTTCATCCCAGTGCCTTCCAATCTGCCACAAATTATTTTGCATCTACTATTTATTAAAAACACAATTGTTTGTTAATCCATTCAATGAAATATTGAGGAATTAAGTGACTGTGTATATTAAGTAGGATTCTCTTTACCATAGAATGTTTAGAACTTAACCAAATAAAGAATGCTGGAAAAAACAAAGGTCTGTGAAGACATGAGCTATGAAAATCCTCTTTGGTCTTCCTTTACTATCTCACACAGTATATAGTGTACATCACCACCCATGTGGTTGCTGGAATGAATCAAACGGAACTGAATTGAATGGAGTGGTTGATAG
Organism: Homo sapiens; assembly: GCF_000001405.40. Classification (NCBI taxonomy): domain Eukaryota; kingdom Metazoa; phylum Chordata; class Mammalia; order Primates; family Hominidae; genus Homo; species Homo sapiens. Next base: position 62,284,761 of record NC_000016.10, on the reverse strand, counting down.
ATTGTAGGAACAATCTGAACTTCTAATAGCATTCTTACTAATGTGTATTACTGGTGTTGCTGGTGTATGAAATTTAGATAGCAATAAAAATAGTTTAAGAGGCCCTAAAGAGATATGTGCTTTGGTTTGAAGCCCTCTGGGTTTCTAAGTGAATAGATTTGTTTGGGTAATTGTGAGTGAGGATTTTCTTGTAAACACGAGGGACTGTTCAGTTTAATTGTGTTGCATCTGGTGCTGACTCTGTTTATTTCCAAAATATTTTCCTCTTTTGTATTGTGTGCCTTGGATAAGGCCAAAGGATTCACTTCTGTTTTTCATCTTTCATTATGTAGGCTATGTTACTTCTATAATTTTATTATCTCTTTGTGTTCAACTATAATAACCTTTGCTGGGTTTTGATTATATGCTAGACTTATTTAATGTTATAATGAACTCATGAGGTCAGAATCATTATAATTCTCATAATACAGAAATGGAAACTGAGACTCAGAAAGGTTAAGTGACTTGCCCAGGTCACATAATGAGTAAGTAATGAAATCAGTTTAAAATTCCAAAGGTCATATTTTTCTCTATTAAAACAATTTTTTTCAACCTTTATTACCTCTTTACATCTACTAACCACATACTATAATATCATTTATCTAAATTATTTAATAAACTCATTTAAGTTAAAATTAATTTTGAATGCTATGTTACTACCAAAGATGTAAAATTAATAATATTTGCCAGAAATAGAGATATCACATAAATATTAATGCAATACATTAAAACAATTAGATTTCATTTTGATAGGATATTGTTGACTATGGGCAAGCTCTAAACTTGACACTTGTCAAGATATAGGCTTATATAAGGGTAATTTTTTAAATGTTAGGTGTTAAAGATATTGTTATCATTGACACAATCTCCTAATCAAGAGAAAAATATAATTGAAATGAAAATAGTTTACTTATGATTTAACATTACTTACTGCTATGTATATGAGCCAAAATGTTCTTCCATCTAAATCTTTAATTCTCCCACCCACCCTTTGGAAGACACAACATACAACTTTCAGGCAAAGCACATTAGAGAAGGCAGTGATTTGTTGGTTCAAACCATGTACCTCCAGTTAGAAAAATAATGGCTAATTCTGAAATTGAAATGGCTGATAGATTAATCTTTTGCTCCATGGATGTATGCTAATATTTCTATACAACCATCTAACTTCTGAACATTGTATTCCCTTAAACTAACAGCAAATAAAATAGGCAAAGTGATGGATGAACACAAATAGAGTTCAACCAGTTCATAAAAAATTTTCAGGAATTATAAAATTTTTTATTCATATTTGTTATGTGTCAGAAGTGAGACCTTTCCTAAGTAAAACCTTTCATTTCTATAGAGACTTTGACTCCCTTTGACTCCACATCCCAGATCTTGGGATGTGGAAAACCCCTGGAGAGAACTGGAGCCCAGTCCCAAATTTGCTGTGTGTTTTTGGGCACTTTTCTCACCCTCTCTGTGCTTTAGTTCCTTCACCTGTAAGATTGGGGAGGAGGCTCAATCAGTACAGCCAAGGACTTTTTAGAGTCAGAAATCTATTATAGTGGCCAGATATGGTGGCTCATGCCTGTAATCCCAATATAATATTACTACGGCCAATATTATAGCCTAAGATTTACCTTTTAATTTTATCTGACAAATATAGAAATATTTTCATAAATTATTAGCTTGAAAATAACATTTTACAGGAAATCCAAAACCCATTCATTTACTGTGGACATTCCGTTTATACCTGTAAGTCAATAAGTCCCTTTACAAAGTCAATCAGACTCTCTTTCTTTGGATCTCTGTCTCTATCTTTGTCTCCTTCTCTGTCTCTGTCTCTTACACCCAGAGACACAATTTGAATAGAATTTTGTGAAATCAGTAAGGGTCTCTTCCTCCAGCTTGCTCATTCTTGGATTGTTCAAAGTACTGTTGATTTAAGTGTGCATTGAGTTGCCTTCAGTCTCTTACTGTCCTGTTTTGCAGTTTTCATGAACAAATTCTGGCTATGTGACAAGATTCTGGATTCAGGTTCACGCCACTAAAGATGTTTAGAGCACAAATGCTCGTTCTCTGATGGACTCATATCCTGGAGAGAAAATTCTCCAACTCCATCCATGTCTAAATCTGATACAGTTTTTGGGCCAACCAAATTGGATTACTTTTCTATCATATAAGGATCATTTCTGTCCACTCAGGAGCCTTCCCTGAATCAGATAAGACATTCTTGCTTAAAATATTTTAGAACATTTGGAAAGAATTCAAATATTAGCTTTTTTAGCAGGCTTTGGAAAACCCATTCACTCTCTAGTCTCACAGCATTAGGGTCTGCTTGCTCTGGGTTCCATTCACACAGGACTTCCTGTTGTTCTTTTGGTTTGCTTTGCTGCAGAACTGTTCTATTTCTTTGGTCTGGAATTTATGCATTGACTCAATCACAGCTCCCACTACCTTAGGAGAAAGCAGTCCACAGTAGCATAAACTAGGTAAGGTCTCTGTGTTTACCTATTTTTTTTTTTTTTTTTTGAGATGGAGTCTCGCTCTGTCACCCAGGGTGGAGTGCAGTGGCGCAATCTCAGCTCACTGCAGCCTCCACCTCCCTGGTTCAAGCGATTCTCCTGCCTCAGCCTCCCGACAGCTGGAACTACAGGTGCATGCCGCCATGCCACGCTAATTTTTGTATTTTTAGTACAGACGGGATTTCACCATGTTGGCCAGGATGGTCTTGATTCCTGACCTTGTGATCCGCCCGCCTGGGCCTCCCAAAGTGTGGGGATTACAAGTGTGAGCCACTGCGCCCAGCCTATTTTCATATTGCCTTTTACATTGCCTCCCTTGAAGACATTAAACTGCAATCACCTAATTATGTAACTTAATTAATATATTTCTCTCCTAGTAGACTGTAAGCCCATAAAAGAAAGACCAATTGCATTTTTCTCTATTACCTTATTCTTAGTGCCAAGCCCAGTGTCAGGTACGTAGTAGTTTAGATTATTATTTCACTTAAATGAATGCACAAATGGATATGCAATCGAATACAGTTATTTATATTTAGAGAAGAAAGAACATTTTTCAGGTTACCACAATAGTTTGCATAACTAACACAATAGATATTAAAGAAGGCATATTTAAAAGTGGCATCTTGGCCGGGCACAGTGGCTCACACCTATAATCCCAGCACTTCGGGAGGCTGAGGCAGGTGGATCATGAGGTCAAGAGATCGAGACCATCCTGGCCAATATGGTGAAACCCCGTCTCTACTAAAAATACAAAAATTAGCCGGGCATGGTGACGTGTGCCTGTAATCCCAGCTACTCGGGAGGCTGAGGCAGGAGAATCGGCTTGAGCCCGGGAGGCAGAGGTTGCAGTGAGCTGAGATCGTGTCACTGCACTCCAGCCTGGGCGATACAGCGAGACTCCATCTCAAAAAAATATGTGGCATATTTGGAGACAATGAGGAGAGATACAGGCAGCTATGTTGAAGCTGCAATTTATTTATTTATGAATTTATTTATTTATTTACTTCCCTTATAGAGTAACACCTGTGCACTGTTCAGGCTAATTAGCATCACCTGGTGGTGATTGCTTAAGGAGACCCTATGAATTAAGCTCTTGGTTGGATGACTGTTCAAGATATTTTTTTCAAATGTTTTGTTTTTCCTTGGTAAATAATCGGTAATTTTTTAAATATTTTCTCATTTATAGAACTTGATGATCTGCTTTGTTTTACCTTTGAATCAGCCCAAAAGATGCTATCAGTCAAAATTATTTGGCAAAGTATGATGTTGGCCATGGAACAGCAAGAAAGGTTTCAAGGTGAAGGAAGGCAATCATGGGGTTTTAAGGCCTAGGTGCTTGTCATTCCTGTGCCCTTCATCCTCTGTGACGCTCCTGCACTCCACCCCTCCCTTTCTCAATTTGCAACTTGCTCACCCACTTATCTCACATACCCATGTGTTTTGGACATTAGGTGAGGAGGTGGAGGAGGGGGAATGGGAATGTAATAGTAGGTTTGGGAGTGCAGGGGAATTGCAAAGCCAGAAAATAGATGAGAGCAGCAGGCGGCAGTGGGAAGGCCTGCTGAGAACGGAGACAGGCAGCATTTATATCCCAACCTTATGTCTCCCAGGCCAGTTTTGGCTCTATGTTCTTCCTTGCCAGGCTGATGTTCCCTGTCTGGCATGTCCTTGTCACTTGAAATATTCATATTGTCCTCCAAGACCCAGCTCAAAAATCACCTGACACCCCTACACGCATCAATCCTGCTTCTTTGTTCCATTCTGTGTTTACATCAGTTTTGATGTGTGTGTTTACATGTCTCATGCCTAGTAGACTGTGAGTCCCTAAGAGGTAACAGTTTGAGTTTAATCACATACCTATTCTAGGAAAGTGCCTGGCTTAGGGTAGATGCTGAGTAAATATCTGTTGAAAGAATGAATGAATAATATTTATGTCGTATATTCAAAAATATATATTAGATAGTGGAAAGGCCATGAGGTTTAGAAACAGATGGAGTCCCAATTCTCCTCTAATCACCTTGTTTTGTGCAATTTTCGTAAATGCCTAAGCTTCGCTTTCCTCGTTTATAGAGTAAATAAAATAGGTTATCCATACATATATATATACATATATATATACACACACACACACGTGTGTGTGTGTGTGCATGTGTATGTGTGCTTGGGGGGGGTGTGTATACTTATATATACACATATAGAGTAACTTATGTAGTCCACAGGACAGATTTAGACTCACTTCCTATTTCTGTCTTTTCTCTGACAGGCATGTGGACCTGGAATTATGTACAGAGTTATGTTGACAACTCAGGTAATTTACATTACATTTATTTGATGCTTTTATCTTTTTTTTCTAAGTCACATTTGCACTAAATGGTTGCAGGACTTACCACCAAAAAAAAAAAAAAAAAAAAAAAAAAAAGCAATTCATGGATATAGCCATTTAATTTGATAATTATTTTGAAGATATTGATCGTCCCTTCCAAAATCAGCTCATCTTTAGAAGCTATCAGAAGTCCCCTAAACTCTCAAATGAGATTTGCATGAGGTTCCTCACCTAGTGGTTAACAGGTTCTACATTCTTTGCCAAAAATGTCACAGTTACTTCCAATGGCAATGAGTCCTACTAACGATCCATAGCTTCCCCATAGCCACTAAACTTAGAAACAGAAATATGGAAACTGGTAGTGCCAGTGTGAGTAAGAAGCTCTCTCTATGCAGCCTCTGACTTCTGCTTCAGCATCTTATGCCTATTCCCTGAGCCTTACTTACCTCATCCTTTAAACTGGGATGATGTTAATACCCTTGCATACTTACAATGAGAAAGAAATACTCAGAATATAAACACAGGTCCTGCCTGGTACATAGTAGGTGCTCAGTAAATATAAATTTTCTCTTATCTGACCTCTGACAACACTGCTTTTAACCTTGCCACCATCATGTGGTCATAACCCATCCCTTCATGTCCTTTAATTATTTGAAAATCATTTCTCCATGCACATTTGTAGAGCCTAGGTGATTTCTTTTAAGTATTAGAAACACACACACTTATTAAGGGTAAGGAGAGCCTGAGAATGATTATAATTAAGCTACTTATTCACAAATTTCATAAAAAAACACCAAACGATTTCTCTTTTAAGGCCACTAATGGATTAGCTATACAAAAATGCTGACTTTTTTAACCACACAAAGACTAAGAAAACAACAATAGAAAAACAAACTTGCAGCACTCCTGAAAAACGGCAAGGATTTTTCTTCTGTTGCTAAAACAAGTATTATTTATTAAATGTTAGTCCTAAAATTAAATATCACAGTCTCAAATGGAAATAGCCTCGCTACCTATTGTGACACAGAAAATTATGATTTATTGATGGTGCCTATTCTAGGCATTTAGTTAAGGGTTTTAGATATATTAATTCACTTAGTTCTTACAAAAACCCTGTAAGAGAAGTATGATTATCCACACTTTCAAGATTAGGAGACAGACTTAGATAGTTTAAATGTATACCCAAATACGAAATGATAGAATATACTGTCAGCAAATTGTGAACCCATTTTTAAATTACTTTATAGCATTCAGCCTAACCAAATATTCAAAAATTGGGCTCAAAAAATCCCCTAGTGTATTTGTCTATATAATATGTGAATATTTGCATGCTCTTGAAGAAAAATATTTTACTGGCTGTGGAAAAAGCATAATGAATTATCAGATGAGTAACTACCAGATAATTGTCATTTCTTGAAGATTCCCTATATAGCTCTATCTATCTATCTCTACCTCTCTCTCTGTTTCTCCTCCACCTGAAACAATTCTTTGCAAAATTGAAAGACCTTTTATATGAAATTTCCTAAATCCAATCTCACCCAAGAGAGATTAAATCTATTGCAATTCTATAATCGTATAGTACATATTACTCTGTTAACATTTATTACCATGTAGATATTAATACTCTCTCTATATATAAATGTTACTCTCAATTCTACTAGATTACTAGATTTTTAGTTATTTGAGGATAGATTTTAGGTTGAAGTATATAAATCTATTATTTTTAGGTCAAAATGCTGAAATGGCAATAATTTTAGTAGCTCATCTTTATCCTACTCATGTTTGTATCTATCACAGAACCTAGAATAATGCCCAAAGAAAAACATGTTTAAAGCAAACCAACTAATCCACCTGACATTTTAAACATTATCATCAGTCCGACCATTTAATCATCAGTACAACCACCTGAAGTTTTATTATAACAATTTTATAGATAATAACCATGTAGCTGAAAAAATTTAAGTAAACATTTTTAATTGTATATATTAGATGTTTACTGAGTTACTTGCCTTTGTTTTACTCCCAAACTTATTCCATTTCTACCATTGAAGCTTCCTAGATGTATCCTCATTGAATGACACCAAACACTATTGTGTTGAAGCAAAAGTGGGAGTTATTTCGTGAGATTAAAATATCATTTTTACATTTTTTCTGAGATCTGAGGTAAAAATATAAATTCATACAGAATTTAGCTTTCTAATATATGAACACAAGATAAAAAATCACTATCGTTCCTTAACTATTAAGATAGAAAATCCTGTTTTAACATCGTTTATCTTAATATTACTTCTGTAGGGCCTTAGCTGCTTCTCAATACATGGCATTTTGATGAAATTTTAATCCAAATGGGTAGCATAACTCGGCCTCCTGGTTCCACAATGACAAGTGTGTTTATTACTCAAGGGATGTGGCCATTACCCTTGCATATCTATTGCAAGTGTCTCAACGTGTGTCTGAGGCTGTTTCAAAAGTCAGAGGTTTCTAGGGAAGAATTATCTCCATAAAGCTATATCCTACTCTCTCCTTACTGCTGCACCTCATACAAAATATGACTTTCTCAGTGAATCCTTCTCATTTCTTTAAAAATGTATGTGCTGAATAGAGACAGTTCAGAGAGAGGGAGAGAAGGAGAGGGATGGAGAAAGAGTGGAGATGGGGAAGAATTGGGAGGAGAAAGAGCCAGAGAGAAAGAGAGAGAGAGAGAGAAGGAGAGAAAAAGAGGAAGAGGGAGAAAGAGAGATTGACTTTTCAGGATAGGGGTCTGGTACTGATAAACCATCAAATTGCATTTGTCTTCATGCTAACTCAAGTTGAGCATTCCAACTATAAGATAGTAACCAGCTATGTAAAAATAATAAGTGACAAAAGAACTATCAAAATACTTGAATACAAAAAATGTGCCGTCTGAACAGTTTCCCCGCTAATTATGCGGGTATACAAATCAGCAAAAGCGCTGTTTTGGGGGCTGCATTTGATTGACTTCAGATTAGCAAAGATTTGAAAAGGTATTCATTGACTGTGACGTTGCGTCTGTCTTTTTCATCCCTGAAAGGCCGTTCTGTGAGACACTGTTATGATTCAAATGTCATTCACACTGGAGTAGCAGGAACAAAGCAGGATTTCCAATAGAAGGAGATCTAATTAAGAAAATAATATTTGCTTATTGTCAGCACCTAATTAGTTTCTCCTGTATTCATGTTTATAAAGGTGGCTCTGTTATAATTACAGTTCAACAAGAAGTAGTTATGTAATATGTCCCATTGCAGAAAATAGAACTAAGATACCTGGAGGTTTTCTCCCTTCCTCCTTTACACACATCAACACACACACAATAGAGATATCAAATGGTCACATTTCACTCATTACTTTTTTCTTCACAGTGTGTGAAACACACACTAATAAGTTCAGTGAAGTAAAAAAGTACTATTATTTTACCATTCAATAAATCTGACTTGTCAGCCTATAAGCCTGTGAATTTGGGGGGTTATTGGAAGTTCACTGTATGTTTTCTTGCATGCTAAAAATGATACTTCTCTTTCATGTTCTGTCTCTCTCTCACACCAGGACCTTTTTATAAAAGGATAATAGACATGACATGGCTTGCAAATGTGTGCAAAAAGACTCAAATTATAATATTCTACATTAAAAAGGGAGGTAAGCTGGGACCAAAGACAATGAAATGATTTTCTGTGCTTACATCTCAAAAGAGAATTTTGATCATGCTATTCACTACCACTTGTTTTTAAGAAAATTTGTTCAATTCAACCAAGAACACATAAGACCCTCCACATCTGACCGCTGCAAACTTGCGTTTCTTTAATATCCTTCTGTCTTGCATTTCTTTAATATACGAATTTAAAGCAGTTTAGTACAGCTGCAGAAGGAGACAATGCTAGGTGCTACTACTAATAAACCTTAAAATTTCAGTTGCTTAACAAAATAGAATTTTATTTTTTATTCATGAAACCCTAAAATGAGGATGTTCCTGATTTGCAGATGTTTCATCTCCACATGCTGATTCAGGCCCCAGGCTGATATCAACCCCCAGGTTCTCAGATTTTGCTGCTAACCAAGATATAAGCAGCAATGTACAATAAAAACACACTTACAATTCTGGCCTGGAAATAACATACATCACTTAAGCTCACTTTCTGTCACAAGACATGTTTGGGAACTGTAGTTTGTTGCTGGATAATCTTCTCCCAGTGATAATTTCATATAATGAAAGGGAAAGCCCACATTCTGCTGCAGACCAGGTATCTTTTCTACATCATTCCTATGAAGCATGCTGTTTCATTACTCTACAACATTTCATTTGGTGAATTCTCACTCAACCTTCAAACTACGTTGAAGCATTATTTCTCTTTACAGCATCTGACCTGCCAAGACAAGATAAGAAATGGCATCTTTCTTATAGCTATAATAGCTATAAATCTTTGTAGTAGAGTAGGTAAAATATTTGTATATAACTATTTAATTGTCTGTCTCTTATAGTCATTTCTAATATCATTTCTACCCTCTTTTTCCACTCACATTCCCGGAACTGTTTCATCCATTTCCATTGCTTCAATTATTATTTATGTTTTGATGACTTCCATATCTATGTCTCTAGCAACATACTTTCTCTAGATCTTCAGGCTCATACACCAGTATCATATGTAATGTGAGGGTACGGTTGTCTGTTGTTGCATTTCAAACCACCCCAAAACTTAATGGCATCAAGCAGCCATTTTTGTGTACTCATGATTCTGTGGGTCAAGAACCTAAGCAGAACCAGGAGAAGTGTTCTATCTGTACCAGTCCTGACTGAATGTGGTCTTCAACTAGGCTGACTCACACTCCTGGAAATGGTTTGTTTTGATTAAATGGGTCCATCTGTCTTTGTCCTCAGTTCTGGCTGCCAGTTGGATTACTTGGTTCTTCCACTATTTTTGCTAGGATTGGAATATCCAACACATGCACAGAAAGACACTTAGAATAATCTCTCAATCTCTCTCCCTCCCCCACCTCTCTCTCTGCCTACAAATCTCTGCACACAGCATAACAGTCTCGGGATACTTAAATTTTCTACATGGCATCTGGTGTCCCCTAGACTTATTTTGTCAATGTCCTAGAATGCCATTTCTGCTACGTTCTGTGGGTCAAGTAAGATAATAAGGCCAATCCACATTCAGGGAAAAAGAGATTAGGTTTCTTCTTTCAATGAGATAATTAGCAAGGAATTTGGAGACATCTTTCCTCTACACAGACCACCCTGTCTTTATAAATTATTTACTCCTAGTGAAAAGTATAATTACACTCTCCAAAACTCCACAAATGTTGTCCCATTATAGCATTGACTCAAGTCCAGGATCTTGTAATAAAAATTATATCCAGGTTTACATGAAACTCTTCATATGTGATTCATCCAGAAGATTCCTCTTGTTTGAGGATTTGAGAACGTAGAAATCAGTCTCATATCCCACATATACTCAACACTAAAAGGTGATACAGTAGGAATAATTTCCCATGGTTCTTTCCTCTGTTCTCTGTGTACTTCATTTTTTCATATGAGTCATCCTCATTTTCCCACAGTAAATAGCTCCTGTTTGCATTTTCAGCTTGCTTCCTGCTCTTAGAAAGTTTGGCAGTCCAAATATCTAATGTATTTGTTTAATGTCTCTATGTCTTATAGTCCAAAAATGGTAATACTTCTCCTAATTTTATTCTTTCACGTGGTGATATGGTCAGGCTTTGTGTCCCCACCCAAATCTCATGCTGAATTGTAATCCCCGTAATCCCCACAGGTCTAGGGAGAGACCTGGTGGGAGGTGACTGCATCATAGCGGCAGTTTCCCTCATACTGTTCTCATGATAGTGAGTTTTCACCAAATCTGATGGTTTTATAAGAAGCTCTATTCCCTTCGCTCCTCACTCTCTCTCCCCCACTACCACATAAAATATGCCTTTGCTTCTCTCTTGCCTTCCGCCATGATCGTAATTTGCCTGAAGCCTCTCCAGCCACCCAGAACTGTGAGTCAATTAAACCTCCTACCTTTATAAATTCCTCAGTCTCAGGTATGTCTTTGTAGCAGTGTGATAACAGACTAATACATTAGGGTTTCCTATGGATATTATTGTAGTTCTCTTAGGTAACAGCTATGCCCAGTCATGTCTTTGAGATGGGATATTCTCTATCTTTGGCCTATATAGAACTAATATGGATCAATGGCATTGAGATTCTTAGAAACTGTTTCATAATAGAGAGGATCTATCAGTTATTTTCTTAAAGTGCTTATATAGCAGGTTTTTTGTATAGCTGAAAGTTTCTAGAGTATATACCTTATATATTTCTGACATCTTCACAGAGATTACAGCCTACACTGGACATCTTTTATGCTCTAAAGTCATTTTCTACTATGTGAATCTTTTACTGGGATAGAGAGAGAGAAAAAAAGTCAGTTTTATTTTAGAACTAGCAAGGTTTACTTCTTTGTGATTCCATTAAATTACCTTCAAAAACTCAACATCTCCTTCTTTAGTTCAATTTCCTCTTGTTATATTTTAATATAGTAAGCTTGAAAAAGCTAATTGCCATTCTGAAATGTTTTGCCTACAAATCTCCCACCCATGAGTCAATTAAATGCCCTTTCTATCTTCCACATTTCCTCACACAACAGTGTTGCCAAACATCCTGCCACTACATAACAATTGTCTCTTTTCCTCCAATCTCCAACAGCATTCCTCATTGTTCTTTGGTCCCTCCTCACCACTCATAAGAAATTTCGGACTTTCATCCACCATTTCAAAGTCAGTGCCACAGGCTTTAAGTTTATAGTTATTATGATGGCATGTCATTTACAGACAACACATTTTGTTATGGTCAACTGTTGCTGTGTTATAAAGTAACCCCCAAATAAATGCATAGTGCAACACGTGTTTTGTTACGCTCATGAATTTGTTTTGATCAAGAATTTGGGTAATGGGGCCAGGTGCTGTGGCTCATGCCTATAATCCCAGCATTTTAGGGGGCCGAGGCGGGAGGATCACTTGGACCCAGGAGTTCAAGATCAGCCTGGGCAACAATGTGAGACCCCATCTGTACAAAAAATACAAAAAATTAGTGAGGCATGATGGCACAGAACTGCAGTCTGTGCACTGGGGTGACTGAGCTTGGTGAATCACTTGAATCCTTAGAGACTGAGGCTGCAGTGAGCAGTAATTGCCCTAATGCACTCCAGCCTGAGTGACAGAGTGAGACCCTCCCTTAAAAACAAAACACAATACAAAGCAAAACGAAATAATTTGGGTATGCATAGTGGGAATTAATTTTCTCTGCTTTGCAACTGGACTCTCATCTGGGGTGGCTGAATTAGCTGGAGATGGCTGAGACAACATGATAAGAGCCCCAAGCTTCCAATCTTACAACTTCACCTCATCTGTGGGTCTCAATTCAGAGTCTCTTTAAAGGATAAGAACCCTCTCTCATCTCATTTTGTATACCCTAGTTTTCCTGTGGTAAAATGGACTTCCTTTTTATTACATTACTCATTTTTACTGGAAAACATGGTGACTTGCTCCTTTATCTTACGAAACTGAAACCTCTATAAAGGGAGAGATCATATCACTCTCACTCACCATTACATCTCCACCACTAATACATTGCCTGTTACATGGCAGGTAGTCACTAAATGTTTAATGACCTTTGAAGCCATCAATTACTCTTTAGCTCCCACTGGCACACAGAGAATGATCTCAGTGGCAGTTCTTCTCAGTGAGGTAGATGTATATTTGTCCAGATCTAAACATACATAGAATTTATCAAAGATATATTAACACAGGCTAGCCAGAGAAAAACTCAAGTCATGATTGAGAGTGAGGAGACAAAGGTTTTAACCAGTAAGACTAGGATAGAATCTGAAAGACACTGCAAGGCCCTGGGGAACAAAGTCACAATATCAAAAGGTGAGTTGAAAGTGACATTGCAAACAAATAAACAAACAAACAAACAAAACAACCATAACACCGAGGCAACTGGTTCAGTAAAAAGGCTGTGGATAGGTGTGTTGTCCCATCTGTTTTTTGCTTAGGAGAAAAAGTTCACAGATATGACAGCTTAAGGGAGATTTTTACACTGTCCTCTATTAATTAAAGACTGTGGAGAGCAACCTAGCATTTCCAATATCATCTTTTTCATGCAAATATCTCTCTAAATAAGTACCCCAGAAATCATTCACTTTGCTTTGAGTGAGTTTGCTAGAACGCTCATGGGCTTCAAACTGGCGGTAGCTTGTGATTGGAAATGGATAAGAGTTGAGCCTCTTAATTGGTTTTTGTTTGTTTGTTTGTTTTTAGGGGGGAGAAGTGGAGGATGGAAAGTTGAAAAGAAGTCAAAGAAAGCCATCATTGAGGAAGAATAATGGGTAATGATAAAGTCTAAACCATTGCTATTTTTCTAAATCTCTTTTTTTGACATGGAAATAGCTTCTTTTATTATTGTTATTATACTTTAAGTTCTAGGGTACATATGCACAATGTGCAGGTTTGTTACATAGGTATACATGTGCCATGTTGGTTTGCTGCACCCATCAACTCATCCTTTACATTACGTATTTATCCTAATGTTATTCCTCCCCCAACCCCCACCCCCTATGGGCCCCAGTGTGTGATGTTCCCCGCCCTGTGTCCATGTGTTCTCGTGGTTCAACTCCCACCTATGAGTGAGAACATGTGGTATTTGGTTTTCTGTCCTTGTAACAGTTTGCTTAGAATGATGGTTTCCAGCTTCATCCATGTCCCTGCAAAGGACATGAACTTATACCTTTTTATGGTTGCATAGTATTCCATGGTGCATTTGCGCCACATTTTCTTAATCTATCATTGAAATCTATCATTGAAATCATTCATTAATTCAATAATGAATTTGAAGAAAAGAGTACCTAATAATTATATTAGTTAGATACTGAGAAGATTGCTTTACCAACCAAAATAAAAAGTGATCTGAAAGCCATATTGTAAATAGTCTCTCAGTTTTTTTATTGATACTTTTGACCAGTTATAATAATATATGTTCCATTACATCAGACACCCATAAACCTGAGTCCCTCTGTATAAATTCTTTGCTGATTTACCTGCTGTTTTTCTGCTCATTAAACCCTGTGTTCGTGAGATCATAGCTAGTGTTAAATCTCTATACCATAGTGAGATGGACTCAGTGCCCTAGGTTTGGGCTGGAGTACTAAGTCCACAAATATTATTCCATGATTATATGCTGATTTTGCATACAGAAATATTGTTCTTGTTCTCACAGTTCTAGCTCCATCACTGAGCTGTCTGTGGCCAAAGTTAAATGAAATAAAGGACTTTTTGGGGTACCATAGGAAAACAGAGTCTTTCTAAATCAGAATCTCTCTATCTATCCTTTAAAAACCATACCCATTAACAAGGAGAACAAATAACCCATCACCCACACATACCATAAAACTACAGTATGCAGAATTATACAATCTTTAAGCTACAAGCAGTCAGGGAATACATACAAAACCCAGCAGATTCTATTCCAGAGTTCATGCTGAAACAAGATCAGATAGAAACAATAAAAATTAAACACAGCAGATGTCCATCACTGTGGAACGCAGATAAAAATTGCCTTAAGAAAAAAGTTTCTACACTAATTGAAGAAATAATGAGAACATAACTGAGATCTAGTGGACCATGGCACTTGATATTGTGAAATTGGATGAAAGTAGTTAAAAAATGTGTGAGAACAGAAAAAAACAGTGTTAGGAAGACAGAATATTTTGGTAAGAAGTGGACTTGAAAGGGAGATACATATTTGTAGACTTGATGGCGAAGAGAGAGAAAGACAAAGAGAGAGAGAGAGAATGAATCATAAAATTGGAAGGCGAACTGAGCCTTCCTCCACAGGGTATCATTTCCTAAAGAATCTGCACTTCTCTGTGACAAAGAGAAAGTTGCTCTTAAACTAAGAAACCTAGAAAACTACCCCAACTCTTCACTTTGTCAATATGAAATCATCTGTTGTTTTTTGTCCAGGATAAGATAAGGCATTTAAAATTTAATAAAAAGTTAAAAAAAGATGTCTAATGAGATATACCACTAGGGTATAAGAAGAAAAACAAACAACAGTAAATATTTCAATTGATGAAAAATTTTCTACCCCAAAAACTCAACCTCAGAGCAGAAGTGAGATACATCATAAGATCTCACCTTGAACTAAATATCTTTCAATAAATCTTTAAAGTAGAAAACAAAACGTCTTGAGTCAGAAATTCATGAACTCAGAAGAGTACTGGCCAAACAAGAGAAACAGGCAAAGTGAAAACTGGACAAATTTAGGAAAGAAATTTTTAAAAAGAAAAAAAATCTTACAAGTATAGAAAAACTACAAATATGCTCAGTGCATGCTCATTGTTAAATGGAATTGGCTAAAAATATCCTAAAAGGAATTAAAGAGAAGGATAAAATTGGCAAAAAGCAGTGAGACAGTGTTGGAGGTAGAAGAAAGTTAAGGATAATCTATTCCCCAAGATGAAAAACAAAACCATGGATGAGAAGTAATATTTAAAACTAGAATCCAAAAAATTTGAGGGCTATAAAAGCAGAACTAAACATATATATTTATCTTTTTTAACTTTTATTTTAGGTTCAGAGATACATGTGCAGGTTCGTTAATACAGGCAAAATCTTTTCATGGAGGTTTGGTATACAGACCATTTCATCATCCAGGTACTAAGCATAGTACCCGATAGTTATTTTTCGTGATCCTGTCCTTCCTCCCTCTCTCCTTTTTCAAGTAGGCCCATGCGTCTGTTTTTCCTATATTTGTGCCTATTGGTTCTCATTATTTAGCTCCCACTTATAACTGAGAACATACAGTATTTAGTTTTCGGCTCTTGTGTTGGTTTGCTAAGTATAACGGCCTCCAGCTCCATCCATGTGGCTGCAAAGGACATGATCTCATTCCTTTTTATGGCTGCATGGTATTCCATGGCACGTATGTACCACATTTTCTTTATCCAGTCTATTATTGATGGACATTTAGGTTGATTCCACATCTTTGCTATTGTGAATAGTGCTGCAATGAATGTACATGTGCATATGTCTTATGGTAGAACAATTTATATTCTGTTGGGTATATAACCAGTAACGGGATTGCTGAGTGGAATGGTAGTGCAGTTTTTAGTTCTTTGCGGAATCACCATGCTGCTTTCCACAGTGGTTGAACTAATTTACACTCCTACCAGCAGTGTATAAGTGTTCACTTTTCTGTGAAACCTTGCCAGCACCTGTTTGTGTATTTTTAAAATAATAACTATTCTGACTGGTATTAGATGGTATCGCATTGTGATTTTGATTTGCATTTCTCTAATGAGCAGTGACATTGAGCACGTTTCATATGTTTTTTGGCCACATGTGTGTCTTCTTTTGAAAAGTGTCTGTCAGATCCTTGTCTACTTGTTAGTGGTGGGTGTTTTTTTTAATTTTGCTTATAATTTTTTTAACCTCCCTATAAATTCTGGATACTAGACCTTTGTCAGATATATAATTTCCAAATATTTTCTCCTATTCTGTAGGTTGTCTCACTATTCTGTTGATAGTTTATTTTGCTGTGCAGAAGCTCTTTAGTTTAAGTAGATCTCATTGGTCAATTTTTGCTTTTGTTGTAATTGCTTTAGGTGTCTTTGTCATAAATTTTTTGCCAGTTACGATTTCCAGGATGGTATTTCCAAGTTATCTTCCAGGGTTTCTATAATGTTAGGTTTTACATATAAGTTTTTAATTCATTTTGAGTTAATTTTTGTATATGGTGTCAAGAAGGGGTGCAGTTTCAAACTTGTGCATATGGGTAGCCAGTTATCTAAGCACCATTTATTGAATAAGGGGTCTTTTTTCATTGCTTGTTTAAGTAAGTTTTGTTGAAGATCAGCTGGTTGCGATGGGCAGCATCATTTCTGGCCTCTCTGTTCTGTTCAATTCGTCTATGTGTCTGTTTATGTACCAGTACCATTTGCATTTGGTTACTATAGTCCTGTAGCATAGTTTGAAGTTGGGTAACGTGATGCCTCTACCTTTGCTCCTTTTTGCTCAAGATTGCCTTGGCTATTCAGGCTCTTATTTAGTTTCATCTGAATTTTAAAATAGACTTGTCTAGGTCTGTGAAGAATGTCATTGGTAGTTGGTAGGAATAGCATTAAATCTGTAAATTGCTTTGGGCAGTAGGGTCATCTAAACAATATTTATTTTTCCTATCTATGAACATGGAATATTTTTCCATTTTCTGGCATCATCTCTAATTTCTTTTAGCAGTGTTTTGTAATTTTCATTGTTGAGATCTTTTTACCTCCCTGGTTAGCTGTATTCCTGGGGTGTGAGTGTGTGTGTGTGTGTGTGTGTGTGTGGCAATTAAGAATGGGATTGCATTCCTGAATTGGTGCTTCATTTGGATGTTTTTGATGTGTAGAAATGATACTGATTTATGTACGTTGATATTGTATCATGAAACTTCCCTGAATGTATTACCTCAAGGGGCTTTTGGGCAGAGACTATGGGATTTTCCTTGATATAGAATCATGTCATCTGCAAACAGGGATAGTTTGACTTCCTCTCTTCCTATTTGGATGTCCTTTATTTATTTATTTATTTATTTTGCCTGGTTGCCCTGGCCAGGACTTCCAATACTATGTTGAATAGGAGTGGTGAGAGAGGACATCCTTATCTGATGCCAATTTTCAAGAAGAATGCTTTTAGCTTTTATGAATTCAGTATGATGTTGGCTGTGGACTTGTCATAAATGGCTCTTATTATTTTCATGTATATTCCTTCTATGACTAGTATACTGAGGGTCTTAAACATGAAAGGTTATTATATTTCATTGAAAAACTCTACTGCACCTATTAAGATAATCATACTTTTTATCGTTAGTTTTGTTTATGTGAAGATTTACATTTATTGATTATGTTTACGTGTATGTTGTATTTCAACATACACTCTTTTTATTGTGTCTCTGCTAGGTTTTGGTATCAGGATGATGTTGACTACACAGATTGAGTTGAGGAGGAATCCCTCCTTCTCAATTTTTCAGAATAGTTTCAGTAGGAATGGTACCAGGTCTTTGTACATCTGGTAGAATTTGGCTGTGAATCTGTCTGTATCTGTTTTTGGTTTGTTTGTTTGTTTGTTTTGCCAGGCTGGAGTGCAGTGGTGCAATCTCGGCTTACTACAACTTCTGCCTCCTAGGTTCAAGCGATTCTCCTGCCTCAGCCTCCCAAGTAGTTGGCACTAGGGGTGCGCGACACCACGCCCAGCTAATTTTTGTATTTTTAGTAGAGACAGGATTTCACCATGTTGGCCAGGATGGTCTCAATCTCCTGACCTCATGATCCACCTGCTTCAGCCCCCAGAGTGTTGGGATTATGGGCGTCAGCCACCACAACTGACCCGGCTTTTTTTTTCTTTTTGGTTGATTAATAGACTATCTATTACTGACTTAATTTCAGAGCTTGTTATTGGTCTGTTCAGGGATTCAATTTCTTCCTGGTTCAAGCTTGGGTGGGTGTATGTGTCCGATAATTCATCCATTTCTTCTTGCTTTTCTAGTTGGGATGCCTAGAGGTGTTCACAGTAGTCTCTCATGGTTATCTATATTTCTGTGGGGTCAATAGTAATGTCTTCTTGGTCATTTCTAATTGTGTGTTTGTATCTTCTCTTCTTCTTTATTAATCTAGCTAGCATCCTAGCTATCTGCTTAATGTTTTCATATAACCATCTCCTGGATATTGTGATTTTTTTTGTGATTTTTTTTCTGTTTCAATCTACTTCAGTTCAGCTCTGATTTTGGTAATTTCCTGTTTTCTGCTAGCTTTGGGGTGGGGTTGATCTTGGTTCTCTAGTTCTTCTAGTTGTGATGTGAGGCTGTTAATTTGAGATCTTTGTAACTTTTTGATGTGGGTGTTTAGTGCTATAGATTTTCTTATTAACACTACCTTAGCTGTGTCCTAGAGATTCCGGTATGTTGTATCTTTGTCCTCATTAGTTTCAAATACTTCTTGATTTCTGCCTTAATTTTATTATTTACCCAAAAGTCACTACTGAGGAGCAGGTTGCTTAATTTCCATATAAATGTATGCTTTGTGCAATTTTCTTCATATTAAATACTATTTTTATTGCACATTTGTCCAAGAGTGTGGATGGTATAATTTCAGGGGTTTTTTTTGATTTGCTGAGGATTGTTTTGTGCCCAATTGTGTGGTGGATTTTAGAATATGTGCCATGTGGCAATGAGAAGAATGTATATTCTCTTGTTTTTCGATGGATAGTTCTGTAGATGTTTATTAGGTCCATTTGGTCAAGTGTTGCATTCAGGTCCTGAATATCTTTGTTAATTTTCTGCTTCAATAATCTGTCTAATATTGTCAGTGGAGCGTTTATGTCTCCCGCTATTGTTGTGTGGCAGTCTAAGACTCTTTGACATTCTCTAAGAATTTGATAAATGAATCTGGGTGCTCATGTGTTGGGTACACATATATATGTAGGATAGTGAAGTCTTTTTGTTGAATTAAACCCTTTACCATTATGTAATGGTCTTCTTTGTCTTTTTTGATCTTTGTTGGCTTAAAATCTGTTTTATCTGAAATTGGAATTGCAACCCCTGCTTTTTCTGATTTCTCTTTGCTTGGTAGATTTTTCTCTCTCCCTTTATTTTGAGCCTTTGGGTGTCATTACATGGGCGATGGGTCTCTTGAAGACAGCATACCCTTGGGTCTTGCTTCTTTTTTTTTTTTTTTTTTTTTTTGAGATGGAGTTTCACTCTTGTTGCCCAGGCTGGAGTGCAACGGCATGATCTTGGCTCACTGCAACCTCCACCACCCAGGCTCAAGTGATTCTCCTGCCTCAGCCTCCCAAGTAGATGGGATTACAAGCATGTGACATGACGCCCAGCTAATTTTGTATTTTTAGTAGAGATAGGGTTTCTCCATATTGGTCGGGCTAGTCTCAAACTCCCGACCTCAGGTGATTCTCTCGCCTCAGCCTCCCAAAGTGCTGGGATTATAGGCACGAGCTACTGCACCCAGCCAGGTCTTGCTTCTTTATACAGCTTGCCATTCTTTGCCTTTTAACTGGGGAAGTTAGCCCATTTATATTCAAGGCGAGTATTGATATGTGTAAATTTGATAATGTGATCATATTGTTAGGTGGTTGTTATGCAGACTTGTTTGTGTGGTTGCTTTATAGTGTCACTAGTCTGTGTCTTTAAGTTGAACATGTATATTTTAAAAGTGTATTGGTACATGGGAAACTGATCTGGAATGGTCAACTCTGAGATATAATCTAGCAAAAATCCTAGACTTAAGGAATTCTAAATAGCTGAGGTTATAGTGACCATAATTTTATATTTCCAAAACTTGTATCACATCCTCAAAAATAAAATAAAAAATATGAAAAAAGGGAAGAAAGGTAGAAAGGAGGAAGTAAAGGAAGGAAGGCAACAAAAACAAACACAGCTACCTAAACCTCATTCTTGTAGCATAATTATAAGACAGAGAACTTCAAGTTACTAAAACATGTAGAATAAATAAGGATGAGGAATATCATACTATGTCAGAAAGTAGGAAATATTCAAGGAAAAATAGAAATAGTGTGTCAAAAGAGACAGAAGTCAGTTTAATCTGGCTATCCTATCACTGTCCAAATTGTGAACAGTTTGACATCAAAAATAATACTAGAAGTACTAGAATATAATATGTAGTAATATTCAATATTAATTATCAGAAATAAGAAGAGGAAGGAAGAGGAGGAAGAAATGGGAAAACTTACTGGGGGGAAAAGAATGTCAGCTAGTAATTATATAAAGAGTGACATAATTTTTTACAAAAATCACCATTATACAACTGCCAATTTATCAGTTATTCCAGACAATGATTATTACTGAATGTTAAATGTTTAAATAACATTATTTTGGGGACATAGAATATTCACATGCTCTCAATTTATAATCTCATATGAAATCCCCTTAATTGTAAACTTCTCAAAGTATAAGACCCCATAGTATAAGACTAAAAGTGTATTTTTTTAAGTATCTTGGAATGGAAAAATCTAGCAGAACTTAACCGTGTGATATTGAATAATCAGTAATGGGGAAAGTTGATATCATCCTCTGCATTGTTGGAAATAAAAATTCTTGCCAAACTTTTGAACTCTGCTACAGATGACACCTTTTACAAATGGAAAAACTGGCTCAGATATTTCAAGAACTTAAAAAAAAAAGTTTCCATTGAAATCTGGGAAGCAAAACAAACTTTAGCCTTTCTGGTTCTGAAGCTATTCATCACAGGTCAGTCCAATGCAAAAACTTTGTCAGGGCTTCCAGTAAGGTAAGTTATCTACTACTGATCCTCTACTACTGATCATTATTGTGTCAGAAAGTAGGAAGTTCTTAAAGAAAAATAGAGATAGTGCATCCTAAAGGGTTGTAACTCACATACTTGAAAATTTTGGAGAAGTTTCTTCATAATTAGACTAAGTAGTATAAACTTCTATCCAGGCAAAAGCTTAAAATAAAATATTGCATATCTAAAAATTACCCTTAGTGGATTTTCCCAGTCTTCCCTCTTACTAAGCTTTAAGAAGGAAGGGTGTTTTTTTTTTAACTTTTATTTTAAATTCAGGAGTACAAGTATAGGATGTGCAGGTTTGTTACATAGGTAACATGTTCCATGGAGGTTTGTTATACAGATTATTTCATCACCGAGGTATTAAGCCTAGTATCCATTAGTTATTTTTCCTGATCCTCTCCCTCCTCCCATCTTCCACCCTCTGATAGACCCCAGTTTGTGTTGTTCCCCTCTATGTGTCCATGTGTTCTCATTATTTAGCTCCCACTTATAAGTGAGATCATGCGGTACTTGGTTTTCTGTTCCTGCTTTAGTTTGCTAAGGATAATGGCCTCTAGCTCCATCCATGTCCCTGCAAAGGACATGACCTCATTCCTTTTTATGGTTGCATAGTATTCCATGATGTATATGTACCACATGTTCTTTATCCAGTTTATTATTGAGGGACATTTAGGTTGATTCCATGTCTTCGCTATTGTGAATAGTGCTGCAATAAGCATACACGTGCATGTGTCTTTATAACAGAATGAGTTATATTCCTTTGGGTATATACTCAGTAATAGGATTGCTGAGTCTAATACTATTTCTGTCTTTAGGTCAGAGTGCTGGTTTTATCCACCCATTGCCACTAATGAGTAGAATTTCTGGTCCCATGCATTTACTGGCTCACTAATATAAATTTAATTATATCAATATATTTTTTTCACCACAGAATTAGGAGATACTAAGCCTAGTCACCCATTTCTTCTACCAACAGCTTTCTTTTTACACTTCATTTTTTCCAGGCTATGTCAAAATCAATCTTTCAGGGTTCTAGTTCAATACACAACTAATTTATGAAGTCCACTTGGATCATGACAACTTCTATTCTAGGTGGTAAGGCACTTCTTTTTTGTGTATAAACTACAGACTATATATATAACAAAATGTAGTTAAGGGAGAAATATACATTTTCTTGTAATATCCACCAATATCATGGATAAAAAGTAAGTACATGTGAAATCTCTAGGTCTTACTTTTAACCCAGATTTAAAGCTCTACATCTTAATGATTAAATTTTAGAAGTATTTACTAGCCAGGAAAGGAATGCAGGGGAACAAAAAGTGAACAAATATAAAACCTATGTTCCACAAATGTTTTACATATTAATATTACCTCAATAAAGTAGATATCACAGATCAAATTTTCTAAATGAATAAACAACAGTTGTGAAAGATTTAGTAATTCACTCTTGATCACATGAGAGTAACTGAAAAATTTAAATTTAAATTCTGGCATAGTTCCTCATGTTTCTACCATATCAGAATGCTTTGACAAGTCAGCATTTTTGAGCTTGGCATTGTACTCTAGTTTTGATGGCGCGCTCTTACCTCAGGCTAGCATACGCACAATCATAAATACATTTGAAGGTACTTATACTCTTTGAGATAAATGTATACATAAGTTCCTATTTATTGAATAAATGAAATGCCTGAACCACATAGATGCTCTACTGATCTTTAACTTCAGGGTTATGTTTTGTACTAGAGGATACTTCAGGTATCTTTGTTCTAGTTTAACAAGTTCTAGACCACATGCCATAATGCAAGACCCTGCTTCTTCATCTTCAGCTAAGAGAACAACTGCGTTTCCTTGTTAGTCACTCTCTTCCAAATTGTTCTAATTGCACATTTGCAACTACATCTCTAAATATCTGAGTCACAGTGAGAAGTAGCTGATACAGATAAATTACCAAGATAACCTTCTGCTGAGGTTGTTAACATGATTGATAGAAGTCATTTTGTAAGTTACAGATTCATTATTTTTTATTCATAAAATGAGATTTTCCCAACAAGCCATAAGAAGCTGGTTCTAACTGAGATAGAGGGAGGTCTCCTTTGAGACAGTAACTAGATAATCATGTGTCTAGATGTCAGAGAGTTTTAGTAGAGAATCCTAAAGTGAAGGAATAATGTGCAGGAGGCAAGAAATAAGGCTGTAGAGCACTGGTTTTCAGAATGGAATGTACATCAGAATCACATGGAGGTTTATTTTATTTTATTTTATTTTTTTCATAGATGAGGTCTTGTTCTGCTACCTTGGCCGGAGTGCAGTGGCATGATCAATAGCTCACTGCAGCCCCAAACTCCTGGGATTAAGTGATCCTCCCACCTCAGCCTCCTGAGTAGCTGGGACTACAGGTGCATGACACCATGCTGGACTAATTTTTAAAGTTTTTGTAGACAGAGTCTCCTTATGTTGCCCAGGCTAGTCTCAAGCTCCTAACCTCAAATGACCTTCCTGCCTCAGGATCCCAAAATGCTGAGATTATAGGTAGAGCCTCCATGCCAAGCATATGGAGGCTTCTTAAATCATATTGCTGGGCTCTACCTCTAGAATTTCTGACTCAGCAAGTGGACCCGAGAATTTGCATTTCTAATAAAGTTCCACTTAATGCTGCTGTTACCAGTACTGTGACTGTACTTTGAGAGCCACTTCTTTAAAATAATTCCCTCTAGGGAATAATAAGAGTAAGAGGTAAGATCCCACAAAGGAAAGGAACTACCAAAGGATGAAAGACACAACATTTTCAAAGTCATTTCTTTGGGCCTTTCTAAACTGGTACACGTCCACCCTGATGCTTGTTTTTAATCACTCTTTTATTTTTGTGAAGAAGACTGTGAAGTCTTCTCCCCTTATGAAGATTATTCATCCCTTCACATTCCTTTCTGAAGCATTGTGTGACAACTTTACTTAAGAGAGAAATTCTGGGAAGTGCCAACCATGCCTGAGGATTCAGCACATTTTTTTAATATGTGAAAAAGGAGAATTATGTAATCATTTATATTCCCCCTTTCACTTGGATTGCCAGGAAAATCAGACCAAATGTATACCCCAATTACAGGAATTCCATAAGACATCATGAATTGTTTTTCTTTTTTTTTTTTCGGTTATCTTACTTGATTTCCAAACTCCATTCTAACTCGTCACTTTGTCAGGCCTGATACTTGGCTTAAACTTACTTCATGTATTTTACATAAGCTACCCACCCAAAATCTACTGTGAAACGCAGTACTCTTAGGCTTACCTTTAGTCAACATTCTTTTCATGTCATATATGTGATATTCTATTAAAAGGTTATAAGGAAGTTTTCTTTGCCAAGTCAAGATCTCATGATTTCCTGAAGTCGATTCCATTAGAAAAGTTATGGAAAGATAAAGAGATTCGGTATGTAAAAAATTGATATATACTAATGGAATGTTTGCAAGTTCCAGGGAAGCCAATTTCCTTAAAATGATGAATATCTAAGTGCTGCCCATCTTGTATGTGAGAGAGAGAGAGAAAGAGAGGAGCTCAGCTGAACTACGGAGAGCTGGGTGCCAGGTGTCAAGAGTAGTTGTGTTACCGGAAAGGGATCCAGACCCCCAGAGAGGGCTCTTGGAATTGGTGCAAAGAAAGAATTCAGGGCAAGTCCATAGGGTAAAGTGAAAGCAAGTTTATTAATAAAGTAAAGAAATTAAAGAATGGTTACTCCATAGGCAGAACAGTGTCATGGGCTGCTCAACTGAGTATACTTACAGTTATTTCTTGATTATATGCTAAGTAATGGGTGGATTATTCATGAGTTTTCCAGGAAAGGGGTGGGCAATTCTCAGAACTGAGGGTTCCTTCCCTTTTTAGACCATATAGAATAACTTCCTGACATTGTCATGGTGTTTGTAAACTGTCATGGCACTGGTGGGAGTGTCTTTTAGCAGGTTAATGCATTATAATTAGCGTATTAATAGCAGTGAGTACAACCAGAGGTCACTTTCATTGCCGTCTTGGTTTTGGTGGGTTTTGGCTGGCTTCTTTTTTGCATTCTGTTTTATCAGCAGGGTCTTTGTGAACTGTATCTTATGCTGATCTCCTGTCTCATCCTGTGACTAAGGATGCCTGAACTCCTGGGAATGCAGCCCAGTAGGTCTCAGCATTATTTTACCCAGCCCCTATTCAAGATGGAGTTGCTCTGGTTCTAAGGCCTCTTACAGTTGATTCAAAGCCAAAAAATGAAAGCAGTGGTCAGGAATGGAGACAAAGCTGGCTCCTTCTTCTTTCATTTCCTTTATGGAACAGCACACTGTTAGAGGGTTGGGTCATGTGGATCAGCCCAGATGCGGGAGTGGGCTCACTGCTGGGGAACTCTGGACAAAGGCTCCTATAGTTTTATGGACCCAAGGGCTAGGGAGAGGTAGAGGAGGAAATTCTAGGGGTGGAGAATTACTGAATACTGAGTCAGAGGGGAGAAATGATGTTTCAGATCAGAGAAAATGAGGCTAAGATATTAGTCGACTTGTCTATACCAGCATTGTCAGATAGAAGCAGATTTGGTTTATTGGCTCCCAGACAATAGTTTGCAATGAACACTGCACTTTTTCTGACATGTAGTGAATCTCCTTCATTCCTCAGTTATCCCCTGTATCAATGCCACACTCATTCTTGGTACGTAAATGACCTTATATAGCTTAAGCCAGTTCTTCTCATTCGCATTCAGAAGAGATTCTGCCAATAAGCATGTATCTATACATATATATCCTTATGCTTGTTGAATTTGTTTGGAAATTCCAATGACTTGCTGATTGTGCACATGGATATAAAGAATTTTTAAACTTTTTAGAATACATTGACTTCATTACATAGCTGGTAAGTGGGAGGTTTGGACCAGAGCTGAGGAATAAAATTCTGGGGCAGGTAGAGCAGGAAATGGAGTTTAAGTAGTTTTCCTTATTTCTTGCCAAGGACTGGGTTATTCTAGAAAAAAAAAAATTTTAAAAAGAATAAAATCAGTACAAAAAGATGGATTTGCCTTCACTACAAGGAAGATATTACCACTGAGAAGAAATATTTATAGTAAAGATTGATACAACTGTTTTTCCATGGAATGTCATAAAAATATTTCATAGGTATACTGGGAAGAGAAAAATCACTTGCATTTTATGATTGAAGAAAGATGTGCTACATTATCTAGGGTTACCTGGACACTGTATTTCTCAAAACAACATAGCCTGATGAGACAAAAAAGTATTCTGACTTCTCCAGGGATATTTTTTTACCTGTACTAAATGTCCAGAGTTCCCCCAGCAGTGAGCCTATTCCCACATCTGGGCTGATCCACCTGACCCTCTAATGGTGTGCTGTTCCATAAAGGAAATGAAACAAGAGGGATCCAGCTTGGTCTCCACTCCTGACCACTGCTTTCATTTTTTGGCTTTGAATCAACTGTAAGAGGCCTTAGAACCAGAGCAACTCCATCTTGAATAGGGGCTGGGTAAAATAATGCTGAGACCTACTGGGCTGCATTCCCAGGAGTTCAGGCATCCTTAGTCACAGGATGAGACAGGAGATCTGCATAAGATACAGTTCACAAAGACCCTACTGATAAAACAGAATGCAAAAAAGAAGCCAGCCAAAACCCACCAAAACCAAGACGGCAGTGAAAGTGACCTCTTTATACTCACTGCTATTAATATGCTAATCAATGTCTATCTTTCTAAAGATTCTACCTTAGGCTTGAAAGGAGAATATGATGATTATCTAAGGGGAATTCTTCAAGTTTAAGTTTCCTGTTTGTTGGTTGTAGGTGATGTGCTTTATTTGTGCCTTTCCAGTAGCCATGCCCACTTATGGGAGCTACTCACCTCCAGTCCTGTAGTTTGAGAGGTGAAGCTACATCCTGCTGAAGAGGTGGGCAATCAGAACATTTCCTTTTCCTAATAATGATTAGTTAAGGAATCATCCAATCAGAGCCAGAAACCATCAAAGCTAACATTAGGACCCTTTCTAGAACTAAAGAAAAAGACTCCTTTTCCTGTCAAAGCTGGAAGGAGCTAAAGGTGGTTCTCAAGGTAGTGATGGAAGAGTATCATTTTGAGAAATTTTCTTACTTCTATAGGAATGAAGCTCAAAAAGAAGAAAGGATATTGGATGGGAAAGGAAGAAACAGACAGGGAGACGGGAGAAGGTTTTTATATAATAACTGATTTATTCATTATATTCATTTCAACTTTAATAGGTACATTTTTAAGGTGAAGAAAATAAATCTGGTTGAAACCAAAATCATAAATTTGTCTTTTCTGACTTTTATAATTAATAAAATATTGACCAATTTATTTGTTATATCTTTTAACAAGTTAATCAAATAAATTCTCAATGTCAGTTTTGTGTGACATCACATGGAAACTGAAATCAGTGTCCCACTGCAGTAAAAGTTACTTCAGGAAATAATTTGTTTCAATAATGTTATTTGTCAGTCCATTTTACAAGATGTAATTATATGATTTTCCTGCTTTTACATTTTCTTCATTGTTAGTGAAAAATTTTCTCTCAATTAATCAAGCTGCAACATTATCAAAATTTTCACATACAGAATGGGAAATTTCCACACATCTCAATAACTATTTTGGACACTTGCAGTTAAGCACATTAAGATGCTTATTAGTGGAGAGTTGTGGAATGAGCCTCAATTAGTGAATTAGACTGTATTCATTACACTTCACCAAATGCTCATTAACAGATTGTTTGATATTTTTCCCTGCCCATGCTAGAAAAAAAAGTGCGCAGGGAGCAGGGTGGGGAGGCTGGAGAGCTAGTCTGCCTTAGCAGCATTATGGAAATGAAGTCACATGGTAATCTTTTTGCTTACAGTTGCCTGGAGTAAAGAATGCCTGTAGCCTTTATCAGTGAGACTTTGTTTGGAAGGAGGCATTAGGATGGGATAATTCTTCCATGCCACTAGGGGGACCCTCTGGCATATTTTTTATAAAGGATCTTTATTGAAGATTAAAAAAAAAGAGAGAAAGAAAAAGGCAGATCTACACGAAGGCAAATCAATTTCCCAGAAAAACAACTCATCTGACAGCTCTCATGTTGGCTAAAGGACACCCAGATGGCTTTACCAAATCTTTAGGGTATGCACAGCAACTTAAATCTAGGATGCTTTAATCCAACATTCCCTAGCTTTCTCCTCCATCCAGAGACAGAATTTCATCATGAGCTGAAGGCTATCTGAGCTTTCCCACCCCCTTCCCGTTTCTTCTCATACAGGTCTTTTCCCCACTCTGCATGTTTAGTCCCATCTTGGTGTCTGTTTCTTGGAAGATCCAGACTAACACAATAAGCATAGATATTTATAACAACAACAACAACAACAACAGAATCCTAGGAAGTCTCTGGAATTAACAGCACACATTATCTCTGAAGATGGAAATGGAAGATGGACTAAAACAGGAGGAATGTTTTCAAATCTTTTAGGAAAGACGTTAATATCCAGGTCCCGCCTGCTCACTCACGTAGCCTGCACTTGCTGGTTGGAAGGTCAGAGAGTACTCAAGTTAGAGGCACATGCTAAAAAGTCACAGATCTACTGGCTGTTCCTTGCCACTGTAATTTTTTTTTTTCAAGAATAAACAACAAATCCTTTGGAAAGCTTTGTTTTTGATGAGATTCTTTTTACCCCAGGAACTTAAAGCAATTGAGTCCTATTGAATAATTATATACATTTTTATTATATACTATACATATTGAAAGTGACAGCTTTATTCATTTATATTAGTTCCAAAATTGCAAATGATTTTTAATATTAGACATTAAATAAATGTTTGCTCATATTTCATATTATATAATTTTAAATATTAACATTTTATATAAATATTGCATTTAATGTCATAAAATTGTAAAACAAAAGGGATTGTGGAAAATACAGAAAACATTAATCAATTAATAAAACTAAAAATACATTTGAAACTTCAACAATAATATGATATAAAATATAGTAATATATAATTAGACTATATTAAATATATAAACGATATACAATTTACATAATTGTTGACCCCCAATATAATAATAGTTGATTATTTTAATTATTAAACCTTTTTAAGCTGTTTTTAGAAATAAAAGAAAAACGAGGTGACCTCTGTAGATCTGTAGATGCATAGAGGGATAACCAATGTTAAATTTCACAGATAACCCTATATCTATTTTATATAAACTTTCATAATTGCCATTTTGAACATAATTCACATAAAATTTGATATCCTGCTTACAGGTAACTGAAAAGTTTTAAATGTGCCTTTATGAGAAATTATTTGAAATTGTTTTTACTTCCATTAACATGTATCAGCCATTACTCAGCAAAAACATCTGGAGTTGTTTCTGGTGAATGCACCACATTTTCTCTGTGTCATACAACTTCACCCCAGGCCTCAGCTAATTGCACTCATGGTATAAACCAGACCTGAAAAGGGGCATTCTTATTGGTCATTGGCCAATAAGACTCATAAGGCTTTGTCTGGTATAAAACAGTGACAAGCTCATCTGATCAGATTATTACAGAAACTTGAACTAAGAGACAGAGAAGAAGGTTGACAGCCATAGACCATGAATGTGAAAAATCATGCTGACATAGGCAGGAAGAACATGATTGTTCATGGACCAGCTGAATTTATGGACATTCTAAACAGAGAATAACTACCATAGTAGCAGCACTGACAGCATTAGCAGCAGCAGTACTAGTGACTACAACAACAATAATAATAATGGCAGAGAACAGTGGAGATAACCATTTACTTATTTCCAAAAGCCGGAGTGCCCAAGTTTCAACAAGATGCCAATTTCAAGTTGCCTCAGACACCCTGGCTTCCCAGCCCCTGTGATGCACAGCTCTCCCTAAAATCGTGCAGTGGTACAGCCTGCAAAGCCATACACAGCAGCCTTGTCCGTAAAGAGGGAGCTTCATTTAGAATCCCTATATCATTTCAGTAAGTTTCAGTATGTTTATGCGTCTGGAAAAAAGAAAAACCCTGACTACGATACTAGTTAAACAAACATAACCAAGTTATTTATCCTGCTTGCTCATCTATAAAGCAGGGGTAGTAAAACCAACCTTTCTTGTGCTGAGGTTTAAAATGTTAAAGTATTGCCATTGGGCTAGCTCAGATTCTTGACTTCACCACACAAAAGAATTTGAGAGGGAGTTTAAAGTAAAAGAAGGCAAATAAGTTTATTGCAAAGCAAAAGTACACTTGAGAGGCAGAGCAGGCTGCTGAAAAGGAGGGAGGACAGTCCCTAGTGCCCTAAGGGAATTCCCTTTATGGGAATTGCCCATAAATATTCATAAAATCCTGGGGAGGTCAAGTATGCAAAGGCAGACCTGTGGTTGGCACATGCGGTCAGCATCTACGTGCTCTAACATGCACTGCATGTATCATTAGCGTATAAAATCTCCACCTAGAGTGTGTATTTTACTATTAAAATATAAAATTTTACTATTAAAATTAAAATACAAAATTTTACTATTAAAATTAAAATATAAAATTTTACTATTAAAAGGCCACTATCGGCTAAACCTTGAACCCAGCTGCACATGCGGAACCCTGGAGAAGTCTCTATCCCCTCCAAGGCAGGAATTTGTAGCTAATAGCTTTTTGGATTTTTGATGTTGATTAGCTGGAGATTAGGGAAGCTACATCATGAATAAAGGCCTTTTGTCCTCTTTTCTGGGCTGTATTTGGTATCGGAAACTTGTCACCATCAGGCAGTCTGCTGGTATCCTGTAAGACTGTTTATCTTGCAAGAGAGTAAAGTGCACAACAGTGTAAGGGACACAGAACCCACTGCAAAAGGAGCTCTCGAGGCTTCACACAAGAGGTGAGTCAGGATGGCCCCCTATCCTTATTTTTCCTGCCTCAGAAGCACATGGAGTTATGTCAGTATGAAAGAAATGTTGATTCTCTTCCCTTCTCTGTACCACAGAATTTCTGCAAATCCTTCTGTTTGCACTTTCAATTGTCCTCTTACCTTTCTTAAAGGATTCTAAGAAGCAAAATTATACTTTGGTTTCTATGCTCTTATTTCCCTTAAAAGTGTTAGTCACGTGCCCTAATTGAAACCCCCAAACTCAGAAGATCAATTTTATAAAGTCCCACATGAGCAGTTTGCTACTTAATCTGTGGCTCATGTACACTAAATTTTACAATTTGCCTTTTTTCTTTCCTCTTTCCTTTTCCAAAAGGCAGACATTTTAGAGCATCTAACACCACTCCCACTGTATCCTTCATAGTCACACGGGGAAAAAAAGAAGAGATACAATCACCACTTCCTTCCAAAATAGTTGTGATTGTCTTCAAACTACACTCTTATGAACAGAGCCATAATTTCAATATAGTTTCTCCATTGTCCTTGAGTTGAATGCCAAATATTTTAACTTTGGTAATGGTGTGTTGTTTTCTTTTGTTTTTAAATAAGCAGTTCCCTCAATCCCCCTACAATAAAAGTAAAGATGTGTTGTTAGAGTGACAACTACAGGATTTAAGTACAGATCACATTTGTATTGTAACTTTTACTTTCAAATAAATAAAATCTAGGTAGAATAGTAGGAAAATTTGAAAATATAAATCTCACATGCTTGCTATTTCAGATAGACAAATTATTTATTATTTATATATTATTTATTTATAAATACATATATAATATATAATATATAAATATATATTATATTTATTTATTATTATTATGTATTTTGTCTTCTACATATTAAAACCAGTCATAGGTCCCATACTATTCTTGTCTCTAACACACATAGCAATTATACAGTCGTAAAATAAATCAATCCCTATTGTAGAGATGAAGAAATTAAGGCATAGGGAAGTCAGGGAAATTTTGGTAGAACCAGAATTTTAAAACTCAATATAATTTTTTCAATTCAATAAATATTTATATAAAATTCTCTAAGTTGCAAGCATTCTGGAGAATCAAAGAAAGATTATAATGTTGTTGTGATCCTCATATTCTTATAATCCAGTGTAGGAAAGAGTTATGTCACTAACTGATTAAACGCCAGACAATGCAAGATATGTAAGAGGAACATGCTGAATTTTCCTGGTGAAAAGAGAGAAAGTTTTATTATTGCAATGGCATCTTGAAACACAGAGTAGACTTTCACTGGACCAAATTTGATGTCTGAGTGAAGAGACAACATTAGCAAAAGTTCATCATTGTGAAATTTCAGGTATCCAAAAAAATAGAATTTTTTTTAAAAAGACAAACTTAAAGCAACATTATTTAATTTTAAAAAGTAAGATCAAGACAATAGAGCAATGATAAATTTGTATGCATCCAACGCAGGACCTACAAAGACTAAAGCAAACACAACCAAACAAAACCCTGACAGACTGGAAATGAACAAAATCACAATTATAATCGGAGTTTTGCATACACTTCTATCAGATATTGATCAAGTAGACAAAGAATTATAAGGCTATAGATTTAAAGAAAAATATGAATAGGCTACTTTTTGAGTGGCTATAGTATGCAGGGCTTAGAAGGTCTGAAACATAAAGTAAAGCTAGGTTTTAAAAAATCAGTGCTATTCAGTATTTTAGGCTTGTTACTCATAGAACCAGAGAAGTAATGTGACCAGATCTCTTTTCAAGACATAACAGTGGCAACAATGAAGAAAAAGGAACTTTCAAATATAGTACAACTAGAGGCATATATTAAAAAGAAAACGAATAAGTGAATCCATATGAAAGATGATGGGGAACTCAATTAGAGGAATGGAAATAAAGCCTGAGAAAAGGAAATATATACAATATATGTGAGTTTTATCAACAAGAGGTGGCATAAAAAAAGAGAAAGTTATAATAAATATGACTCTGAAATTCGTCTACTTGATGGCATATAGCAGTGTTTCACAAAACTCACTAATGCTAAGGACTGAAGAAAGTGTCAAAAACTTGGTTTCCTGGGCTTCTAAACATAGACGTAGTGAGTCAGAATCTCCAGGGGTTGTGCTGGGTGATCTAATTCTACAAGGGATTCCTTTCGGTGGGTGAGTTTAGAAACACTGAAATAAAGATACCACGAACCAAAGAGAAACCAGAAGGAACAAATAGGATAGTATTTTTGACAGGTTTAATTAAGATGCCATCAAGAAATCTATGGAAAGATATCTGGGATACACATGCAAAGGCATGTTTGGAACCTGAGAGAGTGTTTAGAATAAGAAATATGGATTTGAAAGTTATCTGCGTGAAGGTAAAGGTCAAGGTTGCATGACTAGAGGTTTATAAGGAAAAGAATGTATAGACCAATATTTACAGTGTCTACAATTAAATTTCAGGAAGCATATGAATCAAAGAGATAATTAAAATAGTATTATAGATGTAGGTAGAAGCCTAGCCATGGGATATTATAGAAAAAAAAAGACAAGATACTTTCAAAAGAAATACAGCAGCTAATGGTGTTAACAATGCAAAAAATAATGATAGGAAATAAATACTGGATTGAGGTGAGTGAACCAGGCAATTAGAATATCTTTGAGGATCTTGGAGAGGGCAGAGTATAGTGAAAATTTGCTCATTATGAGTTCAGGGGACTATGATTAAAAGAAGTAGCAACAAGAGAGGAGACAACTTTTGCAAGAAGTTAAGCTGAGAAAAGAGAGAGTTTGGGAGGTATCATGAGGGAGAAAGGTGTTCAAGTGAAATTGTTTTGTTACCTTTTTTTCTTTATTCAGTGTAGGAGATGCTGTGATGTGACAATCATACTCCTTTCAGGACTGAAGGACTTAGCTCCCCAGCTGCTGGGGGAGCTGCCCACAGAGAGCATCCTGCCATCAGCTCTTTTCAAAATCGCCTTGGCTGAAAAGAATGGCCTGGTCCAAGGTCATGCTCCTACCCACTGACAGCTCACATCCAGCGACCATTCAGCAAGGATGAATAACAGCTGAGGCAACCTCAGCCAAGCTCAGAAAAACTCTGAAGTGCAATTTGGATTTTCAGGCTCCCCATTAAGATAGTTGAGGAGAGTCATCCTGCCTGAGGTCTTGCCTCTGCCCATGGCAGCCTGCACCCAGTGACCAGGAGATGCATGCATATAAAACCCCAGTCACCTCACACCAAGCTTGCGGGACTCAGAAAGCCCATCCTGCTTTGAAACTATTTGTAGAGTTGGCTGAAGTCTTTGTTGAGATTTCAACACAAACTTTCCCCTTGTCTAATTCTCTGTTGCCCCTTGCTTTCCACAGGTAGTAATCCTCAGACCACTACCTGATACACCACCCGCGTGCTAATTTTTGACTTAGAGTCTACCATCTGGGGTATCCAGTTTGCGACAATGGGACCTTTTCAGATTTATTAGGCTGACAAGAAAGCTATGAAGCTATGTCAAATGACAGGTAAACTTCACTCACTTTAAGTATCAATAACCTAAGGTGAATGAAAAAGTAACGTTGGGGTGAAGTGGAAAATACCTTAAGTGCAGAGATTTTATTTTTTCTTCCTAGAGATGTGTAAGAGATCTGAACAGACTCTTCCCTTTATTTCAATACTCATGACTGGAGGTAGAAGAGGAAAAACTGGTGAAGGGGATAAGGCTTAGAACAGAAATTTTGGTCTCATATTTTACTCATGTCTGATATTTTCTGACAAATTATTCACTCCTTGTAATATTCCTATCAGGCGTACCCCACAATCTGCTGTCTGCTCTACATGCATATCTAAGAAGACAGGAATCATAGCCATTTTGCTGTCTAGCACATTCTCACAAATCACCATTGTACCTAACAAAAAAAGGTGGTCAGTGGCTAGAAAATTAAAGAATAAATGCAAAGGATTAACACATGCACAGCTAACACCCAAAACACATTATTTGTATTTAGATATTCACGTTTTCTGACAGAAACCTAGATGTTCACCTTACAGACCTGATCTTCTGTATTCTCTTCTTCATGATGATTAAGACCGTTCTTCCAAAAGTTACCGTAGGTAACTTTGATACTGTTTGGCTCTGGGTCCCCATCCAAATCTCCCCTCCAATTGTAATCCTCACATGTCAAGGGAGGGATCTGTAATCCTGAATTGTGGAGGTGGGTGGGTGATTGGATCATGGGGTCAGTTTTCCCCTTACTGTTCTCATGATAGTGAGTGAGTTCTCATGAGATATGATGATTTTAAAAGCATCTGGCATTTCCCCTGCTTGCAATTCTCTCCCCTGCCACTATTTGAAGCAGCTCCTTGCTTCTCATTCACCTTCTGTGATGATTGTAAGTTTCCTGAGGCCTCCCAAGGCATGTGGAACTGTGAGTCGATTAAACCTCTTTCCTTTATAAATTATACAGTCTCGGGTATTTCTTTACAGCCATGTGAAAACGGACAAATATACTCATCCTTGTTATTCAAACTTCTTCCCTCACCACTTTGAAGGTGTGGGTAACATATTTTGATTCTACTTTTAAATGCTTCAACAGCTGTTTCGTTGTTTTTAAGAGTATGTGCAGATTTTATATGAAATCTTCTCTGTCCGCTCTGTATCCACCTAGGCCCATTTCTCACTACTGACAAGAGATCAGCATGTCACATGCAATAACATCAAACAAAACAAATATCATGAAAACACTATACTTGAGATAAAAATGTTATTATTACAGCAGATGTTTATTAAGTGTTTACTAACTGCCAGACACTGGGTCAGTATTGTATATGGATTTTCTCATACCATTTTCACAATTCTATTATTATCTGTGTTTTATAAATAAGATAAATAGGGCTAAAATAATTGAAGTAATTTGTCAATTCAACTCCAGCATCCGTTTTCTATTCACTCTTATCTCCAAAGTGGTCCAGTCCACATTACCTTCATTTTCTACCAAAAAAAGAAAAAAAAAATCCTTCCTCTGTCATCAAAACTCATCTCAACTGACAATTCCTCTACAAAACTGGTATGAAGTCTTAAAAGGAAAATGTCAATCCTCCTTTCCCCATGTTCCATTTATACCTGTACACATCTATTTTATTAACCACATTTCATTGCCTATGTGCTTATCTACCCAGAAAGTAGATCGGCATTATCTAAAGTAGCCCTCATAGATGTCTAGGTCTAATTATGAAGTAAAATATTATAAAATAAATGAAATGTTTGCCTGAATGCCCAATAAGGGATATACTTTCC
Source organism: Homo sapiens (assembly GCF_000001405.40). Lineage (NCBI taxonomy): Eukaryota > Metazoa > Chordata > Mammalia > Primates > Hominidae > Homo > Homo sapiens. The sequence goes on along the minus strand of NC_000016.10, from coordinate 62,248,309 downwards.
ACTAATTTGATTATGACCATGAACATTTAGGGTGTCCACTTTCCATGAACTAATAGCCTAGTACCCACTTTCCAAATAGTTTGTTTCTGCATCACTTAACTCAATAGCTGTAATATCAAAGATGTTCCTTTAATCATTCAACATTCAAAACCACTCTGCAATAAAGTTGTGTTGATTGGAATTGATTTCCAGAGATTTGCAGTGTTTAAGAATGTCTTGAAGAACTCTCTTGTCTTCTCTTTATCATTTCACCTGTAAATAAACTAGATATTTAAGGGGAGGATTTCATTAAGGAAAGTCACATGGGCCTGGAAATTTCGTTTTGAAATAGCACTAATTAAATTGCTTTAATCCTACTGAAGCTTTCACCTAGGCAGTGCAGCTATTTCACATGAAATTTATAAGTCTGCTATTTAAATGTCATGCTTCTCTATTATTATTCATTTATATCTAATTTATTACTAGATGCCTGTCTCTAGCCTCAGGGTATAAGTATCTTTAAGTTTAATTAAGAAACCCATTCTGAATATTATCACTCCCAACCAAACATAAAAGACAAGAACATAAACACAGAAAATACACGCATACACAAGCCCATACACCCTCAATGGATGCAACCTACCAGCAAGTTAGCACATGCAGAGGGACTAGAAAAGACGCATGACAGGAGCCATCTAATTAGAAGACTAAAACTTTTAATTTTTAATTTATTTCAAATTATAGAGTAGAAACTCATAAAAGAAATGCTCCATTGTATAATATGATGTATGCGTATGAACATACATACAGATTCTTCTGCAGGCCGTATTAGAATCTCCACCACAACTAAAAGACAGCTCTCCTCTGACATCTCTGAGACTTCCTTATGTAGCAATCAGCCCCAGCATTAAGCCAAATCTTTCTGTTCAAGCACTGGAAAGGGAAAAGTCATCCTAAGTTTGAAAGGACAGATTATAGTTCTTTCAGGTATGGATGAAACAAAATTAATAATATTAAGTCATCTTTGTCAAGATCATGGAGGGCATTAAAGAAAGGCTCATTTATTAGTCCATGTCCAACTTGGAGTTTCATTGAAAATAACAATAATAATCACATCATCAGCATTATCATCAACAACTCCATTGATTTATATCACATACTAGGGTTTAAAAGATCTTAAATGTCTATTATCTCACTTGGTAATAAGAACACATATATTTTAATCTATTGTAAAATGTGAGATGCATGAAAATATGTATATCGTTTATGAGCTGCATTTAAAACACAGGATAATGTTAAGAACACTTCAATCTTTTTATAGTTGTCTTTTACTCCTGTTTGCCAATCCTTCATTTAACATCACTATTCTGTACTAGCAATACGCTAAATTTTACTTAAATAGCTTTAATAGACTAGACGTGAGATGAGCATAGGTCTGATCTCACAGTAGACACTGAATTTTTTTTTAGGACACCATTGATCCACGTTTACTTCTTTAAACACTTTCCATTTATGATTGCTTGCCAAACTTTCATCCACTGTGACCCTCCAGGGGTTTCTCTTTCTGAAGAAGTGGAGGTGAGATGTTGAGACATGTATTTTTACATTTTATTCATAGTCAATCTCCTCTACTTTCCTTTATACCAGGAATGATAACAACGAAGTGCCAATAGACTAAAAAAAAGGACATCTGTTTTATGTGTTTTCCATCATGAGGCCATTTGAAGTGTGAGATTGTTTTTCTGAAAGATCAACACTTTAAAAATCTTTCTGATGACAAACTGTGCCTACTTCCAGATCATGTGGCAGTAAAACACTATTACATAGCTCATCACACCCAGGATAAAGTGTCAGCTATGAAACATTATGATTTATGTGTATATTGAACATTTGTTTTTAGAGCCAAACTGACTTCTCTCTTAATTTGTAGCTACCAAAATGATCTCTACTTAATTCTCTGTAATTATCAACCCTTAATTCTATCTAATAATGTGGTAATACAGAAAGCATTTGCTACACTTTGTTTTTTCTGCAAAAAGTCTCATTTGTGCCCTTAATTACCTACTGACATCACTATGTTGTGGTTGTGGACTTTCACACGTTACTGTGTATAGCATGGCTCATAAAGTCTAATGAGAATAAGTTCCTTGAAATTAATCCCAATAATTAACAAACTTGCTGCCTGCTTCTCAGATGTCTAATTTGTGACACAAACTTGGCAAATGTTTTCAACTGTGGAAGCAGAATTGAATTAAAAAAAAAGAAAACTTTTTGAGAGAAGTAGAAATTGGTCTTTAGAAGAATTTCTTTATCAAATATACAATCCATTGGTGATATATCTGATTTATCAGCAGTGAAAATAAACATAAAATAATATGAAATGTTGACCAAATGATAGAGGGTTCTTGATGGTAATTTTTCTCCTCAGGGAGCATTCTTTTAAATAAATTTTAAAAAGAACAGAAAAGAAGCTATTTTGTCTTCACATCTCAGTCATTCCATTTTTTTCTGTGAAAAGACTTATTCCTATCCATTCCCAACTACCTCCTACCTCCCAAATTACGGATTCAAATATTTTCCTAAATTGCTCCATTTACCCGAGGCATTTGTTGATATGACCAAAGGGCACACTAATAGGCCTTTAGTAGTACAAGTATTCATTACTTGATGGTCAAATTCACTCACTAAATAACCCTAAAATTATGTGATGATTTATGTCCAAATCCCATTCAAATCTCAAGTTCAGGTAAAAAGGTGGAGTAACATTTAACCCTTTGCATTCCTGTCTCTTCTGCCTCATTTTAAATTTCTGGGATGTAGAACAGATTCTGGCATATAGTAGGTGTTTAACCACGTTGGCCGAGTAAATTGGAAAAGAAGTTAATAATACTTTTAAAAACTAATTCATTCTTATCACTGAATTTATTTTTAATAGGTGATTTTTTCTTTACATTCTATATAAATTTCTGTGTTTTACCATTTCTCCAGTAATTTGTTATTTAAATCTTTACTAAATTAAAAGCGAAAACTAAATAAATCCTCCCTTACTGGCTTCTCTTCAAGAGGCCTCTTTTAACCCACTACTCTTTTGGGTCATAATTGTATTTATTGACAATTTTCTCTGGAGCCTCTTTTTTTCCATGTTGTTTACTTTTTTTTTTTTTTTTTTTTTTGAGACAGAGTCTTGCTCTTGTCATCCAGGCTGGAGTGCAGTAGCACAATCTTGGCTCACTACTGCCTCCCGACCTCCAGCGATTCTTGTGCCTCAGTCTCCAAAGTAGCTGGAATTATAAGCACGTGCCACAATGTCCAGCTAATTTTTGTATTTTTAGTAGAGTCAGGGTTTCGCCATGTTGGCCAGGCTGGTCTCGAACTCCCAATCTCAAAGAATCTGCCCAACTCATTCTGCCAAAGTGCTGGGATTACAGGCGCAAGACACCACACTCAGTCGTTGTTTTTCCTTTTTTACCCAGCAAGGATGTGTACCAGACCTGCTTACATCAGGAAATATGTAGTGGGGCTTGAACTCAAGGAACAGCCCTACAATAAAATAAATAAGAATTATCAAATGATAAAGCAAAACGGATATTTTGATAACAATGTCATATCTATTTTAACTCCCTTGTAAAGATAAAGTTATTGCCTTTGTTTATTTATTTGCATTCTGGAGCCTGAGTTTTGCATGATTATTATGAATATGAAATTTCCTGCAAGGTCTTTATCTGTATCTTTGCTGACTGGCTTTGCATGAAAATTAGTATAGGGTGAAGTTGAAGAATATGGGTTTTACTATGAAATAGATGTACATTTGAATCCTGGCTCCTACACGAGAGCTGTGTGACTTGTACTCAACTTTCTGCCTCTCAGATTTTGCTGCAATAAAATGAGAATAAAAACTAAGAATATTGACCTCCTGGGGAGTTTGGAAGATAGAATAATAAATTTTTACATGAAAACTGCTCAATACTTTATAGCCATTTTTAATATGAGAGTGACTATTTAACAATAAATCATGGAAGAATAAGGAGGAGAAATGAGAGTTTTAAAGGTACATTAATCCTATGTTTCACCCATATTTGAAGGGGAGAAGGAAGGGACATATAGAATGCAAACACAAATCATGATGCCGAAATCTTATTTTCATATTGGTCAGGAAATCCCCAATTAAATCCCAGTTAATCCTAATACGGACATCTAGGACTTGACTAGACACAATGTAGACAAAAAGTAGAAATGTATCAAAATATAAGATATAAGCAGGGTGATTTTTTTTTTTTTGAGACGGACTCTCACTCTGTCATTCAGGCTGGAGTGCAGTGGTGCGATCTCGGATCACTGCAAGCTCCCCCACCCGGGTTCACGCCATTCTCCTTCCTCAGCCTCCCCAGTAGCTGGGACTACAGGCACCCGCCACCAAGCCTGGCTAATTTTTTGTATTTTTAGTAGAGACAGGGTTTCTCCATGTTAGCCAGGATGGTCTCAATCTCCTGACCTCATGATCCTCCCACCTTGGCCTCCCAAAGGGCTGGGATTATAGGCATGAGCCACTGTGCCTGGCCAGCAGGGTGATTTTTTTAAAAGCATACAATAAATCATGAAACACAGACTATGTAAAACAGAAAGATCGTTTATTTGAGTTTACTATGATCTGTGAAATCCCTCTAACCTGAGCTGATATTCCAGATCTTCACTTAAAAGCCTATGACCTTAGGCAAATTATCTGACATCTCAAGGCCCCAGAAGTTACTTCTAGGACACCAGAGTAGAACATGCCAATTCCACTGAAGTATTTGAAAGCAGCAAGAATGTTTCCAATTAGAAGTACAATTCTTATTTGGTAAACCAGATTCACAGCTTATTTCTGAATAAAAATTAAAACATAACTAATTCTCAAATTTCTGAAAGCCATAAAATTGTGAGCAAAATGTTTCTACATACTTTATCTCATTTTAATAATACAAAATTCTTTAACCTAGTATAGTGACTCTCAGCTGAGGGAAATTTTGCTTCACCAGGGAATTTTGGCAATGCCTGTGAAATCTGTGGCTGTCACACTGGAGAATACCACTGGGTTTTACTGAGCAGAGGTCAGGGATGGTACTCAACATCCTGCAATGAACAGCACAGTCCCCAACACAGAATTATCTAGTTCAACGTGTCGATATCGCAGAGGTTGAGAGATTCTGATTTAGAAGAACAGGAATCTTCTGAATACTGGCTTATTTGCAATGAAATATATTCACATTGCTTTTATTTTCACCTATGTTTTTGCTCCAGTGTCAACCTACCAGTGAAACAGAAACTTTATTCCTGTGGGTCACTTCTCTGAAATAATATTATCATTTATGTGGGAATATTTTGCTGATGGGCTACTATATATCTATGATACTTAATTTTATGTGTCAACTCGACTGTGCCACAGGATGCCTAGATTATTTCTGGATGTGACTCTGAGAGTGTTCCTAGATAACACTAGCATTTGAATTGGTGGACTCAGTAAAGTAGATGGCTCTCCTCAGCATAAGTAGGCCTCATCCAATCTATTTTAGGGCATAAATAGAACAAAAAGGCAAAGGAAGGGATAATTCACCCTTTTTAAAAACTTTCTGCCTGCCTCTTAGCTGGGACGTTGGTCTCCTACCCTCAGGCTAGGATTTTCATCATTGGCTCTTTTGGTTCTCAGACCTTCAGACTCATACTGGAATTAAACCACCAGCTTTCCTGGGGCTTCAGCTTACATACGGCCCATTCTCACACCGCTGTAAAGAAACACATGAGACTGGGTAATTTATAAAGAAAAGAGGTTGAATTGACTCATGGTTCTACAGGCTGTATAGGAAGCATGATGCTGGCATCTGCTCAGCTTCTGGGAGGTCTCAGGAAACTTATAGTCATGGCAGAAGACAAAGGAGAAGCAGGCACGTTTTACATGGCCAGAGCAGGAGCCAAATAGAGAGAGGGGAGCAGGGTATGTCCTAAACATTTTTAAACAACCAGATCTCACGAGAACTCACTACTCATTCACTCTTAAAAGAACAGCACCAAGAGAATGGTGCTGAACCATTCATGAGAAATTGCCCCTATAGTATAATCACTTCCCACCAGGTCCCATCTCCAGCACTGGGGATTATAATTCAACATGAGATTAGGTGGGGACACAGGTCCAAACCACATGAGCCTCCATAATTACCATATGGTAATAGCAGTACGTATGTTGTTATAAGTGAGGAATACCCCTTCCTTCCCATCTTTTTATACATATATGGTAATATATTTGTATATATGGTAATAGCAGTATACATATGTGTATGTGTACATATATATTATATATAATACATATTTTACCCAAATTACATATATATATGTACCCATACACATTATTGATTATATTTCTCCAGAGAATCTTAACAAATACAATATCCATGAATAAATAACTAAAATAGTAGGACCATCTAAATTCTAATCTAAATTCCACCATTATAAAATATTTATAATAAAGAGCTATTGTTTTGTATCCTTCATAATATTAATTAATTCATTAATTATGAAAATAAAATGTATTGAGTACCTACTAAGTTCAAGAAACTACCTTCTTTACATATTTTAATCCCAGTGCTTATCAAGGGGTAGGGAGCAGAAGATGAGAAAATCTCAAATCCTGGAATTTATAAAAGACTATTTTTTGAGTACCCTGGACCAGCCAGGATACTACCACCTGTAGTACTGCCTTATCACAGGCAGTTTTCCTCTCTCATCAGATCTGATGGGTATTTTGGGTCCTTTCTGTATGTCTTGCATTGCTGTTTCTATGATTGAACCTACCAATGCTACTCCAAACCTAGGCATCTTTCTCAAATCTCTGTGTCCATCAGAAAGTGCCTTCTAACACTAACTGAAGCTGAGACTGACCATTTACTCCTACCCTGCAGTGGCCATCCACATCAGGAATGTAACCAGAGACTGCTGGATTCAAGGCTCCAACTCCTAAGGCTGGGTTGTGACCACCCACCTTTTACTATCCCCCACTGATGCAGGATTTTTGCTCTTTAGCTCAGCTAGGTCCAGGTTCTTGTCTCATAACCAGGAAAAATTAGGCATGTGGACACCAGAGAGTGAGTGGAGTAGAATGTATGAAGTGAAAGGAAAGCTCTCAACAAAGAGAGGGGTCCTGAATAAGCAGGTTGCTGGTTGCCTCCTTCACAGTTGAATACCAGGGCATAAGGTGCAAATTCCTGGTGGCTCCACCTGTCCTTCCAGTGTGTGGGGGAGCCCTCAGACTGAGCTGCTCCATATTTCTGTGTTTCCCTTACTGTGCATGTGTTAAGCAACAGAATTTTCTACTGTGGGCATGTTTAGGCAAGACCCCTGTGCAAGTTCCCTTATCTGCACAAAACCGTCTGGTGTAAGCACTTGTGGGGTGAGTCAGAGGTTCTCTGAGGACCCCTCCCTTACTGTCTGCCTAAGGCAAGCTGGCTAACTCCTTTCACCACCAAGTGACACTCTGCTCTCTGTCTGTAGACTGTGTACCAAACTGTGGCAAAAATGGTTATCATAAGATTGACACACCTTCTCATCCATCCTGAATTGTGTTCAGTGAAGAAATGTTGAAATTTTATAGAAACATGATACACAGGTTGTTGTGATTTGTGAGAGTATCCATATCAAATGAGAGAATGACAGTAGGAGAACTGCCACTCTTTTTTAAAGCCCAGCTTTGTGAGAATACAAAGGAAGGCATTCTGAACTCTTTCTGAGGAGGCAAAGAAAGGCAATAAGTAAGCATCAAGCTGAGGTGAGAAGGTAATAAATAGATTTCTAGCAGATCGAAGGAAAGGCCTTCTGGGTAGAGGAAATAGCATGTGTGCAGATGCACAAAACTTAAGCAAAAAGTACAAGCAGATTGGCAAGGTATCCAATATTGTCAGAGGGCAACAGATGTCAGCCAGTTCAGGAAAAGGTAGGACTGGAAATACAGGGAGGAGACCAATTCTGAATGAACTCAGGGATTTGGTTTCATTCTGAACGGAGAATAATAGCAAGAGTTTTCAAAAGAGAGTTTATGGCATACAATTGCATTTTATTAAAAAAAAACTATCTGATATTTTTATTAAGAAGGATGGATTTAAAAAAGAAGGTAAAGCTAGCAGCCAGACCAGTGAGCTGGAGGGGTAGGGAGAGAGTGGAGAGGGAATACCAACAACAGAAATCCTGAGAAGTTTTAACCCAGGATTCTTAGCAGAAAAGTATGAACAAATATGAGATAAATAAGTTTAAAAAAATTGATTGAGTATTCTGGTTTTCTTAGTTTGCCTGAGCGGTTAGATTTTGACATGAGTGTTTTAAAAAACATTTATAATATTCATTGATATAATTGTCAAATCTCTAATACAAACTATGATATTTTCCCATGTTTTTGTTTTAAAACTATTAACAGATTTTGCTCAAAAGATACTTGAGGCTTTACCAGGTCTTCTCTTCAGAGATGGTCAGTGATTCCAGGAGTGACCATAGAAAGGAAAAAATATGATGATTTATCAGTATTTTGGCAAAGAAAGACAACATTGATTAAATTCTTGCAGTTGAATACAATATTAACAAAACTTTTCTGGCTCATTTGGAGAGGATGAAATTAATTCATGAATGAGAGGGTAGCTATAGGCAAGATTCCATGGACAAAGAGGCAAAATGCAGATTATGGCTTAAAAAAATTAACTAGTGAATGGGATGTTAACCTCCAGCTGGGGAAGTAATTGTATTATAATGGTGATGGAAAAAGAAAACTATCAACCAAAGAAATGAACCTGAACTGAAATGTTTCTAAATGGCAAGTAACTTTGGTTACCTTTTTGGTTTGTATATGCTTCATTTTTACGCCACTGCCCTGTGTTCTATAATCTCAGCAGCAACTGGAAATGGGAATTCTGCCATGTTTGGCCTTGACACCTATTCAAGTTTTGTCCACGGACAACTTACTTAAACGTGCCCAAACCAGGATTCCACTGCAGCAGAGTTCCTGCCTCCCATGGTGGTTTCATATCTAGGTACCTCACTTGGTGGATTCAAGGATCAAAGGAGACCACTTTTAATTACCTTGAATGGTGCCTGGTACCTTGCAGGTGTTTTCAAAGTCTGATTTCTACCATTCTGAGCTACTGCAGGTTGACCTTTATTAATGCATCTGAGAGAAACAAGAAAGATTTTGACATGCAGCAAGTTAAGGAAACTTTTGGGCACTGAAGTTCAGTGACTTCACAGGAATAGTGATAAGAAATATGTAATAGCAGTACTCTGCCTCACAGGTTTTGGGTTTTTTCATGATTAAGGCACAAGATGAACTGAATGTCAGGGGCTTCCTGCAGGACGTGCCCATGAGTACCACTCTTTAGGGAAGGTTCTCATGCCATGAGCTTCAGGATGATTTATTGAGATCACAAATTATATTTTGAGTAGAAGTGTATGGATATTTACTCTCCTTATACATGAAGGTAGCTAAGTCCTTGAGTCCTCTTGCTATAATGTGATTCATGTTTCAGGGCTTAAAGTAGATGAAACTTGCAAATAGAACTGAATTTCTCTCATATGGTTTTGTTTGTTTTGAGAAAATTATGCTGGTGTATCCTATATAGTAAGATAAAAGAGGTACGTTATTTTTGCTTTTTGTTTTTTTAAGTAGACTTTACTTAGACAGTGGCTTTAGTTTACAGCAATATTGAGCAGAAGGTACATAGCATTTCTATAATCCCCTGGTGCCCTGCCTCACCCTCCCTACTATCAATATTATCCCTCATCAAAGTGGTACATTTGTTAAAATCAATGACCCTACATTGACAAATAATCATGTTTTTAAAAAGCAGAATTTTCTATTAGCAATTTTTATTTTGGTGTACAGCTTAGAAATTTGAGTCTATGTATAGATTCATGTAACAACCATCAAAATCTAGATACAGGATAACCCCCAAATAACTCCTCCCTTCCATTTCTTTATAAACATGGCACCCCCTGACCAATAAACCCTGGAAACCACCTATTTATTCTCTAGTACAATAGTTTTGTCTTTTCAAGATTGTCACATAAATGAAATCATAAAGCATAAAATTTCTTGAGACTGGAATATGTCACTTATAATGCCTTTGAAATTTGTACAAGGTTTTGTGTGTCTCAAAGCATATGTCACTGGCGACTGATGTGGACAGAAGATTCATTAATATTGCTAAGTAGTATTCCACTGTGTGGATGAACCACAGTTTGTTTATTCACGCATTGAAGAACATTTGGGATATTTTCAGATTGGGACCATTAAATAGGGCTGCTATAGGCATTGGTGTACAAGTTTCTGTGTGAACCTGTTTTTATTTCTCTAGGGTAAACACTGTGGTGTGTAATCTCTAGATCCTATGGTATTGTGTGTGCTTAACTTTATAAGATACTGATAAACCCTTCCAGAGGGCTGGTATTATTTTGCATTCCCAACAACCACATATGAGAATTCCTGTTACTCTTCATCCTCATTACCACTTGGTATTTTCAGATTTTCATTGGTTTGCTTGTTTTTTGTTTGTTTTTAGTCATTCTAGCAGATGTGTAGTGGTGCCCATCATGCTTTTAATTTGTATTACTTTAATGGGTGATGATGTTGGAAACCATTTTATGTGCTTATGTTTTATCTACGTTTGCTCTTTGCTGAAGTGCATATTCAAGTTTTTTAAAATCTATGTTTATTTTGACTTCTTGGAGAAGTCTTTTATCATTATATAATATCCCTCTTTATGCATTTAGCCATTCTCTGTTCAAAATTGGAATGTTAGATCATTTGTATTTGATTATCACATGTGCAGACTTAGGTTTACCCCTTTATTATTTGTTTTCTAGTTCTTACCTCTGTTTTCCTTTCCCTGCCATCTTTTGAGTTTCTTCTTTTGGACTTCTCCAAGATTGCAGTAGGGATGGTCGTTTGGGGCTCAGCAAAAGCCTCACGACCTTCTCCTATCAATCATGTCTGGGAAGGTAAAGACTTCCCTATCTCCTAGGAGGGTGAAGAAATGAATGACTTTGGTGTATTTTCAGAGACCAAATTTTAGGTCAGTGGTCTCCCAGAATCACTAAAGAAGATCATGCTAAAGATCTTCTTTAGCATGAAATCTAAAGAAACCTGAATCATTGGAAAATATGCTCAATATACTTTGGCTCTGTGCCCACACACAAATCTCAGATTGAAATATAATCCCTAATGTTGGAGGTGGGGCCCAGTGGGAGGTGAATGGATCATGGGGACAGATTTCTCATGAATGATTTAGTACCATCCCCTTCATAGGGTCCTCACTATAGTTCAAGATCTGCTGGCTTAAAAGTGTGTAGCACCTTCCTCCTTGCTTTCTTGCTCCTGTTGTCACCATGTAAGACATTTCTGCTCCCTCTTTGCCTTCTGCCATTACTGTAAGTTTCCTGGGGCCTCCCTAGAAGCCAGGCAGATGGCAGCATCATGCTCCCCATACAGCCTGAAGAACCAGGATCCAATTAAATCTCTTTTTAAATAAATTATCCAGTCTCTGGTTTTTCTTTATAGCAATGCAAGAACAGCCTGATACAAAGCTATTCCAGATCATGAGCTTATGTTGGTGGTGCCTGGTGTGGACAGAAGATTCGAGGTATTTCCTAAATATTCTGTATAACACCCCTGTGTTGGTCCTTCAGGTGACCCCAGGAAGAGACAACAATGACTAGGATTTAATTTTCTGCCAGCCACACACATTTCTGATAAAACTGAGTATAGATTAAACTCAAATCCCCTACTCTTTCTTGGTAAAAAAGAAAAAAAAAATCTGACCGAAGAATTTAAAGAGAATATTACTCTTTTGCCTCTCATCTGGAAGTAGTTGTTCTGGCAATAAATTGTATCACTGTGATAATAATATTTGTTATGGGATATTATTGTACTTTTTGAAATGATTGACACATTTCTCAAATTTTTAAAATTTTTTCTTGATTTTTTTTTCCCCTCAGTTCAATTTAATTGTTCGATTAAGAAACCTTTACAAAACTTCTAATTTGTACCAAGGGCTTCATCAAGTATAAAAAATAGATATAAATATTATATATCCATACTTTCGTAGCATTTACTAACAGAGAAACATATTTATTCACTGTATTTTATCACCTGTGACAAGAAGTGCTGATCATTTCAAACGAGCTTTGATAAAAGTGGAATTCATGGCTCATGGTCAAGGGAACTTTGAAGAATTAACCTTGTTTAAAACACTAGTGGTTTAAGAGGAAAAAAGAAAGGGGGGTCATGGTTCTTTTCCCCCCTAATGTCTTGATGCTCCTTTGCTCGGTGGTACATCATTTTCGAAAACTCATCTCTTTTCTTGGGAGGAATTACAGGCAATGACACCATTAGCATCACATGGTTCTTTAAATGGTAACTGAATAAAAAAGAGAGAGCTTTTCCCAAAAGGTACTGAAAAGACTCAAATTGACCTGAATTAAGTCAGACAGCTATCCCTGGAATTAGAGAAAACTGAATGAAAAAGGCATGCTTCCCCAATGAAAGAAATGCTTGTCATAAACTAGTAAAAACAAAATGCATTGCAGACTTACTTTAAATATTTGAGTGTGTTATGGCCATGATCACTAATAATCCTAAAGAAATTTTCAAAAGAATTTCCCACCTACATAATAACAATATCGCCAAAGAAAAGAGAATTATTCATAGTAATGAATAAACACACATTCATTACTACTCAAGAGTGTACTCAAATGAATACTACTTCCAGAAATTAAAATTATATTGTTTTTAGATACATCTGCACTTAGTGATGAACATCAGCACTCTCATTTCATTTTTCATAGTTATTGCTTTGGCCTAGTTTAGCTGATTTTAAAAAATAAAAAAGATAGAAACAAGAGAGTTTTACTTAGGAACATGATTTTACTGAACCATCTTTCAAACATACGTTCATATTACAAGGAGCAATAGGGAATCATGTGAATATCAAAAGTGAAGTGATTTTTTAAAAATATATTAGGAAGTGGATTGGGTTAATGCAATGCATTATGTGCTGAGTGATGGACCATTTCTTCCCAGAAATGGTGTTTTCTTACTTAATGGTATCATCTTGTGAGGATGTCTATTTAAGATAATCAATAAGTAAATTTTTATATGGGATGTGTAAACATTCAAAAGCCCTCAGCTTTTAAAATATAATGCTAGTTGGTCAAATAAAAAAAAGAAATTATTTTACTCTTTCATACATATGTCTGTGGGACATAGGACAAACACACACACATACAATTCTAAACAGAAAAGAGAATGCAGGAACAAATTTTGTAATATTTTAATAAATAGATGTCTTATAATCTATGAAAAAGAAAGCAAACAATATTTTCTGTTCTGAAACATATGCATAAAACTGATTAATGGTTATTTATCAAATATTATCTATTAACATAATTTGGATTAAATAGGTCTATGAACTACAAAACAAACCTATGCTTTCCTAAAAGTATGAGCAATGGAGAAGGAGGCGAAGGAGGTATAAATTACTGTTGACTTGAGTGAAGCATATAACAAAGGGGTCAGTTCTTAGTTGGTATTATTTTATACTTTTAAAGCTGTATTTAGGATACTTGACTCATATATGTATACAGCCATACATTTGTTTTTGTTTACTTGCAAATATTTAAGCACCTCTTACCTGCTAGACACTGCGCTGATTGTTGAAGATTAGCAAAGACCAAAGTCTTATCCTCATATATCATAGTACAAATTTATATTTGTAAATTTTTTCTTTTTTTTTTTTTTTTTTGAGACGGAGTCTCACTCTGTCGCCAGGCTGGATTGCAGTGGCACAATCTTGGCTCACTGCAACCTCCACCTCTCGGGTTCAAGCGAATCCCCTGACTCAGCCTCCCAAATAGCTGGGACTACAGGCATGTGTCAACATGCCTAGCTAATTTTTTTTTTTTTTTTGTATTTTAGTGGAGATGGGGTTTCACCATGTTGGCCAGAATGGTCTCAATCTCCAGACCTCATGATCCGCCCACCTCGGCCTCCCAAAGTGCTGCAATTACAGGTGTAAGTCACCATGCCCAGCCAATATATTTGTAAATCTTAGAGAACACTTTGCATTTTGTTTTCTAGCAAAAAGATGTGACAGATTCTAAACAATCTATTCTTAATTATTTTTGCTCATTGTGTACCTGAAGCAAGCTAAACAAGATCTCTCCTAATCAGTCACTATTAATTACCTGAAGGAAATTAAAGAGTTTTGATATGTTATTCTAGGAAAGCATTAAAAAATCTCTCAAAAACTTCTCATAAAACTTAAGCTTGTGAAAGGATGGCTGCATCATATTTTTGTACGGTGCTCACTCACTTCTATGTCTATTATGACCTGAACATCCTAGCCTGTACACTTAATTATTTCACTTCCTTTTGTTGGTTAATGAATGTTTCAGCATATTTGTAAACCTCTTGTTCTTTGTTAAATTTCAGGTAAGTAAACAAGTTAATTGTAATGTAATTAGTAGGCCTTTACATCTTTAAAGTATCTGTATCACTATAAATATGGATATACCTATTGTTCTCTTCTACTCTTTCTCTATGTGTATGTATATGTGGAAGAAAGGGAGAGGCTTGTGTTATCATTAGATACTTTATATGCATGAGAAAATTTTTATCTACATAAATCCATGATCTTAAAAACAGCCTCACACTACTCCTTTGAGCATTGAATGTTGGTCAAAATCTCACTCAACTCTACTTAGCTAGAGAGTTGTAGAGCAGGGATTAAACTTCACCTCTGACTAGCATGACAGCCCGTGATTCTCCAGCTCTACCACACTGAGACACGTTAAGTGAAGCCATTAGTAAAAGACCATGGGGCCCTGGAACTAGACACCCATACAGAAAACATATACAGAACAGATCAGTCCTCACTCTTGCTAACCCTCTGTTGGCTGAGATGCTCATATTTTCTGTTGAGATATGATGTACACAAATGCTCCCTTTTTTTACAGATAACTTTAGACTTCATTGTTATTTTTATGTTATGTTGAAGTTTAATATTTAAATAGAAAAGTATATCTGTCAAATATCTGCAAATGAATGAACCTGCATAAACTTAAGACAATTGGTACCTAATATATAGACCAAGAAACAAAACTATTACTAGCCCTCCATAAGAATTCTTCATGTTCTCTTCTATCATGCTTCGACACCCCCAGAACAGGCATTGTCTGACTTTGAACAGCATAGGTTAGTTTTGCCTGCTTGCATATTTTAGGTAATGAGAATCAATATAGTATCTGGCTTCTTTCTCTTAACATCATGTTTTCAGGAATCATCTTATTGTGGTGTAATTGTACAATATTTATATTTATTGTTGTGTTATATTCACCTGGAAATATATACATCTTAGTTCATTTATCCAGTCTCCAGTTGATGGGCATTTTGGTAATTCCCAACTTTAGCTATTTTGAGGTGTTACTATGAACATTCTTGTACATATTTTAAAATAAATTTATCTGCACATTTCCACTGGGTGTACACCAAGGAGTTGAATTTCTATGTCACAGAGCGAGCATATGTGAAGTTTTAGTAGATACTGCAAATTACTGTCTTTGAAATTGACCTTTATTGTGTAAAGAGTGATCACATTTTTCAGCCTTTTCTTCCTGTTTTGAATGTAATGCCTTTTTTCTAACATCCTCCCTCTCAATTGTATACAATTCATTTCCTGCTTTGCCAAGTTCATAGTTCTAGGCTTTCAAAAGGTTTCAGCCTCATTAAATTCCACATCATTGAGTATCTTGCTGATAACACTTTGGTTTTATGTATACGTAAAGAATTTGCTCTCTATCCACAAAACGGATGAATAAGGAAGGCACTTGATGGCTGAAGAAAATAATAAGACTAGAAAAAGCCTGTATGTTGATTTACAATTGTTTGGTTTTTCAATAATATCCATTTATTTCCCAGAATCCCCTGCACCTCTATTATTTTTTTGGTGGTAGGCAGTCACTAAGCCTCAGAGGGAGTCCAGCATGCTAGGTAAACCACAAAATTGAATGCCGCATTGTGTCCTTACAGACTAGGGAAAACTCTGTAAATATCAGCTACTTGACTCTTCCTGCAATTGAACTTGAAAAAAAAAAACGTGCCTGAAAACATTCAGTGAGGGGCAGCTGATCAGAAGTCACCTTATATCATGTTGGAGGAAAGATTACATCTTGGCAGACAGGTAAAAGGCTTGTGAGTAAATTTTAAACCAGTAAACTGCAAATACAGTAAATTATAATTCACATTGTTTTACATTTTCACTTCCTTTCATTCATATTTTAAGAATTAAAAACAAATACAATTAAACTTTAAAACTTGACTTAGAGCTATCTTGTAAAAAGACAGAGTAAAGTTGTGTACTATATATATTAGATATACTATATATAGTACATATAATATATAAATACTATACATATTTTAAATATATAAATACTATATATTTACATATTATATATGAATACATAAATACAATATATTTACATATTATATATAAATATATATAGTATATGTAACATATATACTATATACACTATATATAAATACATATATATATTTTTTGAGATGGAGTCTTGCTCTGTGGCCAGGCTGGAGTACAGTGGCACAATCTCGGCTCACTGCAACCTCCGCCTCTCAGGTTCAAGTGATTCTTCTGCCTCAGACTCCTGAGTAGCTGGGACTACAGGCACGTGTCACCACGCCCAGCTAATTTTTGTGTTTTTAGTAGAAACGGGGTTTCACCGTGTTGGCCAGTATGGTCTCAATCTCTTGACCACATGATCTGCCCGCTTTAGCCTCCCAAAGCGCTGGGATTGCAGGTGTGAGCCACCACACCCGGCCCATACCATATATTTTTGAAAAAGAGGAAGATTAATGAAATTCATTCTGTGCCTTCAAAAATTATTATCTAACTCCCACAATTCAAAATTCTAATGTCTACATAACAAAGACCATTCAGATTAAAGATGGTGTGTGCATAGATATTAGAAAGTGAAATACTGTCACCAGTAGAACACTCTTTCCACATAATTTTCAAAACCCTTCATATGAAAGTACTAAAAATATTTATATTGAATTAACATCACTATTTAATTCAAGAGGCAGTGTATATGCACCTAGGGTTTTGCTACAAACTATCTGCATTCTAAATTCAGTTCTTTTAATTCTTTAACCTCTCTGATCTCAGCTTCCTCATCTGTAATCTGTGGAATACAATAACTTTCCTATTAGATTGTTGCAAGTATTAAATAAGGTTATATATTTAAGCAGTTTATCACAGTGCCTTGCATGTGTTGTATGTTCTATATTATTATTTTATGTTTTGTCATTATTATTCTATTATGTATATCTTTTGAAGCACAGCAACTATAGCAGGAGGAAACCCTTTCTTAGGACATGGAGATTATCTCCCCTCCATAATGAAACGGGAGAGTTCCCTGACCTCCCTTGCAGGATGTGCAACAGGGGTGTGACTCGTCTGTTTGGTCACCGACACTGCTCAAACCACTTACAGGAGGGGCAGCACACAGACAAACAGGTGCAGGAGCCCAAGTGGGTGTATATTACAGTGAGCTCTTTTAGTCTTGCTGTCCACCAACAGCTTAAGTGCTAACCAGCTCAGTGGACCCTCTGCCTTTCTGCAAGGGCTTGAAGGATAGTGAATGCAGGGTTTTATTGGGTGGTGGAGGTGGCTCTCAGCAGGATGGATGGGGAGCTGGACAGGGGGTGGAGTGGGGAAATGATCTTCACCTGGAGTTTGGCCATCTAGCAGCCGATTCTCTGACTGTCTGCAGCCGAACTCCTCCTGACATTCCTTCTCTTCTTTCCTTGTCTGCCACACGTTCTGCTCCTCTGCTTGTCTCCTCATTTCCTTCTGGATCCTGGGGTCTGGGGTTTATATGGGTACAGGATAGTAGGGTGTGGTGGGACAAAAGGCAACTTTTTGGGCACAAAAATAGGAATGCCTGTTCCCATTTAGGGCCCTGGGTATCCAGGCTTGAGGGTGGGGCCTTTGCTGGGGAACTGCCCTCTTCTACCCAGTATTTCCCTGTCTCCTGTCTGTACCAATATGAGTGAGCCAAGGAAATAGCAGTCACAGCCTGAAGTTTTATACCATCCCTTCTTTCCAAAACCAGGACTTGCGCAATTATGACATTGGAATGACTTTGATTGTAGCTATATTTCTGTTTTAACCACTGTTGTCTATTGTACTCAATTAATCAAATTATTCCATAAAAATGTAAAATAATAGTGCAAAAAAGTATTCCAGCAACTTCTATGAGCTGAACACATTACAAAATATTTTACATTAAATATTTCAGCTCTCACCATGAATTTGCAATTCTGGCATTTTTTTTTCATTTCTCAGATGAGAAGATTGGCAAATGCACAGATTTAAAATTGGCCAAAGCATTTGAGATCAATCTACATTGTTGCATGTACCAGTAGTTTGTCTGCTGAGTATTATTCTATTGGATATAGAAGAGTTCGTTTCTATATTCACCACTTGACATTAGATTTGTTTCTAGTACAGGCCAATTATCAATAACACAGCTATGAAAATTCAAATGCAGGTTTTTGTGTGAACATGGCTTTTTATTTTACTTGAATATGCATTATAATAAGAGAAAGAAGCTAAACTCAAAAGGCTACCTATGGTTTAATTTAAACGATGCCTTGGAAAAGGAAAAACTAGAGATGGAAAACAGATCAGTGGTTACCAGGGTACAGGAGAGGCATTTGATTACAAAGGGGCAGCAAAGATAATATTTTGAGGTGATGGGAATATTATATTTCTTCATTAGATTGTTGTGGTATTGAAACACACTATGCATTTGCCAAAATTCGTAGAACTCAACAACAAAATGATTGAGTTTTACTATATGCAAATTAAAAAATAAATAAAGACTGTGCTGAAGGACACACCACTAGGAAATGGCAGAGCCAGAAGCAAACTCAGGGAGATCTCTCTCTATAGCCCATGCTCATTTCATCATGAGTACAGTCCTCTGTCAAATATTTGTTGCCCTATTAGGAATTATCACCTCTGGACATGTTGGCATGTGCCTGTAGTCCCAGTTATTTGAGAAGCTGAAGCAGAAGAATGACAGGAGCCTAGGAGTTTCTGTCTGGTGTGTCCTACAATCGCATCTATGAAGTAGCCACTGCATTCCAGCCTGGGCAACATAGAAAGGTATCATCTCAAAAAACATTTTTTTCAAATAATTATTTCCAAATGAGTTACTATTAGAAGGTTCTTCTATTTGTATTCTAATGTCCAAAAGAAAAATATTTTCCCTTCTAAACCATCAGATAGGAGATGTCTTAATAAAAACATTATATTCTCATTGTGTAAATTCAACGTAAGGGGCATCTGGGTGCTACTTGTTTTCAACAGGGAATTGAACAAATTAATACTTTGGATGTGTTACTTTTTTCAGAATCAGAACATTTTTAACATTAATCAAATCTATTCTAGTATTCCCATCTGTTCCTCACATCAGAGTTTCTTTAAGATAGTAATTATAGCTCTAATTCTATAATGCTTTTCTTTCCAAGAATACAGGTTGATGTATGCACCATCTCTTCTTCTAGTCAATTAATCAATAAGCATGCACAGGCAGTAATTGTGATGAAGAGTCCCGTTAATACTAAGAAAGCTAATGGTCCTTTTCATCAAGTGCTGATTAATCAGAAAATATTTTTCCCATAATTGGTAACTATTTTTATAATTCCTTAGAGATTTACTGAAATTAACAGGTTGAATTTTCTCTATTATGTGGAACAGCGATTTAGAAACCTAAATAATAAAATAAAAACATGGAATCAGAATGTAGCAATGTTTTCTATCATAAATTGTTTAGCAAATGAACATGCAGATTATTCCAGGCTCACATTGCTTACTTGGATATTTGAAACCACTTAAAAATTCAGTACTTACAAATTATCTATAAATACATTAAACTCTCAAAGAACCTGCAATATTAATTGTTGACTGGGGATTTCATAGGGCAAACAAATTATTCAGACAGAATAATGTGTGTCGTTGTTTGCTGTATTTCCCCAGGAGGTAAAACAATAAATTCCAAACCTTAAAGTCACCAAATTTATTTATCTTCTGGAATGAGTCCTATTTTTCTGTTCCACAGTGAAACCAAATGAACCCTGCAAAAATAAAGTGCTTTGAAATTTGTCGTTTTAAACAAGAGAAAATTCTTTTCTAACTAGAATTTGGATACTATGGTACAAAAATATTAAAAGGGTCTTTTTCTCAATGATTTATGCTTGGATGCCAAAATATTTGAGTGCGAACATGCTGGAATGAGAAAACAAATATTGTCATCTTTTGAAGATCTGCTGTGGAAAATATCATGGGTTTGTAATCAAGTCATTTATTCATCCTTTCTAAAGATGTTTGTTGAGCACACACTGCATACAGGATACATTTAAAAGAGTCAAAATTCACTGAGACAACATGAAATCGGAAATGCCAAGAGACAGAGAACTTCGGCAGGTTGTCTCCAGACCTCTGGGACTCAGATTGTTAATGTCCAAGCCACACTAGAACCCAATTTTTCTCCAGTTTTCTAGAAGTTTTCCTAGAGCATCTTGCTACAACAAATTAGTCAAATTATTTCATTCCAATAAATGGCAGATTCCATTAGAACTTAATGTATTTACTGATAATTTGTTAAGTACTGCATTTTTTAGTGTTTTAAAATATCATGCAAACATTGTTAGTCTGGACCAAACTAGGGAGTCATTATTGCCAAGAATAAGGGGTTGAGGATTCAAAAGAAACACAATTTAAAAAGGACATGGAGACGGGCAGTAACATGCTGTCTAGCAATTTATGTACTGTTGTATTGTGAAAAATAATGAGACATTTAAATCAGATAGTTCTGTATTTGAATCCAAGCTCTGAGACTTTTTAGCTCTATGACCTGGGGCAAGTTACTTTATCCATAAGCACAACTGTCCTTTCATCTGTCAAATGGAATTAATATAACCGTTAGAGTTCAGTAAACATTAGTTGTTTTTATGTATTAGCCACGGTAATAAGCACCTTACTTGTAATTTACACATCTGAGGTAGATACTTGATATGGTCTGGCTGTGTCCCCAACCAAATTTTATCTTAATTTGTTATCCTCACATGTCAAGGGAGGAACCTGGTGGGAGGTTATTGGATCATGGGAGCAGTTTCCCCAATTCTGTTCTCACGAGAGTGAGTGAAGTCTCATGAGATCTGGTGGTTTTAGAAAGGGCTTTTCCCACTTCGCTCTCTCTTCTCTATTCTGCCGCCATGTGAAGAAAGTCCTTGCTTCCCCTTCACCTTCCACCATGATTATTAGTTTCCTGAAGCCTCCCCAGCCATGTGGAATTGTGAGTCAATTAAACTTCTTTCCTTTATAAATACCCAGGCTTGGATATTTCCTTATAGAAGTGTGAAAACAGACTAATACGATACTATTATTACCCAATTTTGTTGTTGTTGTTGTTGAAACTGAGACATAGTAACCATTCTCCAGATTGCGTAGCTGTAAAGTATTGGAGAAACCTAGGCAGTCCTGGACTACAACCTGCAGTGTTAGACCGGTGTACTACATTTAAGAGCAGGGGAGATAAAGGAGATAATAGGTATTAATAACCTAGTCATGCTCCTGGCATATATAGTGGACATCCAATCAATTGCATAATATAATTAACAATGAATGTAATAATCTGTGTGCAGAATGTGCAAGAAAGTGAAAAATTGGTCTTAGGAAGAATCATTACGGAATAGAACTGGTCCTGAATGCTCAGGGACATCATGAATCCCTCTTTTCATCTATGTTAGTTGTTCTCAACAGGAGGCAGTTTTGCCTTTCCCATCACACTATTTCTGATTGTGATGACTAGGGAGATGCTATTAACCTCTAATGTGGCCAGGTACATTGCCCATAATCCTACAATGTGCATAGCTATCATCCCTCATGCCAAAAAATTGTCCTGTCCAAAATATCAGTAGTGTTGATGCAGGGTAGGTGAGCCCCCAACTTTGGGGTTTATCAGAGGGGGGTTCTTGGATTTGATCAGGAAAGAATTCAAGACTGAGTCAGAAGTAAAAGATAGAAGCTTTTATTGAACTGGTACTGCTCCTTCCGGAGCAGGGCTGACCCATAGGCAGTGTGCTCAGAGTGAACACTTGTGGACTCCTGTCTAGCTGTATTTAGTCCCACTTTTAATTACATGCAAATTAAGAGGTAGATTATTCATAAATCTCTAGAAAATGTGTGGTAACTTCTGAGCTCTTGCCATACAAAGAGGCGGTAACTTCCGGGTCTTTGCCATGGCGTTGGTCGTGGCGCTGGTGGGTGTGTCTTATGCTAATGAGCAATGAGAGCAACTAGAGGTTGCTTTCTGCGCCACCTGCTGGCTCCTGCTGGTTTATTCACTTCATCCTGTTGGGGTTGGGAAGTAAGTCCTGTCCCTCTCCTACCTCGTGGTTGCTGTTGAGAAATTCTGATTTATGTCATCTCACAGTTTTAATTTCTCATGCTGGGTTAGAAGTAGGCTCTGTTGAAAGAGATGCTTATCAATTTTTATTTTTATCAGAATCATCTCCAAATTTTGTTGACACATAGTGCTGTCAGGAATTTTAAGTTTGAAGACTTGGATTTATCCCAGAAATCTACATTTTCAACAATTCTCACCTTCAGGCAATTCTTTTTTAATTGATACATAATAATTGTACATACTTATGGGGGAGTACCTGTGATACTTTGAAAAATGCATACAATATACAGTGATCAAATCAGCATATGTAGAATATCCATCACCCCAAACATTTATCATTTCTTCGTGTTGAGAGCATTTCTTCTCTTTTAGGTATTTTGAAATACACAGTACAATATTGTTTATGATAGTCATCATACACTATTGAACACCAGGACTCATTCCTTGTATCTAACTGTATTTTTTGTACCCATTAACCAATCTGTCTTCATTCCCAACTCCCACCCTTCCCAGCTTCTGGTAACTCTCATTGTACTTTCCACCTCTGTGAGATAAACTCTTTTAGCTCCTGCATATGAGTGAGAACATGTGATATTCATCTTTGTGTGCCTGTCTTCAGGTAACTCGGAAGTAGATTGTCTCATTGATCCTGCTAGGGAAAACCCCCAGCCTTAACTCTGCGTTATCTGATACTGTGGGCTGGGAAGTGTAGCAGTTCCAGAAGAAGCCAGCTTAATAATAGCTATCACCGTAAACACTTAGCACTTATGTTTTGTGACTCCTCGTGTTCTTCTCAGCCAGCTTCCGTATTAGACTAGCACCCTGTGGTCGAGGAGCAGAGACATATTATAGGCAAGGAAATGTGAGATACGGTCTGACAAGGAGGTGCTAATAACTCTGCTGAAACTCGGAATTATTCTCTTCTTTCTGTGCCCAATGGGGAGGGAAGTGAGTGGAAACAGGTGTTAAAAGAATTCAGTGTGAAGCCAACGTCTGTAGTCAAGCCAAGACAATATGTGCTGGGGAAAGAAGGGACAGCAACTGGCACAGTGAAAAGAAAGAATATGGAGTTAGCATTACAGAGAGTTTAAGAGTAAGAGTTTTTCAGTGGCAAGTTGGGAGAAGTCTCTGTGTATGTGAGTAATTTTCAACAGGCTACTTGAACTCTCCAAGCAAGAGTCTTATACTCTGGCTGCAAGTTAGAATCACCTGGGAGCTTTAAAATAGATACCATTATCTGTGCACCACCAAAGACCAATTAAACCAGTATCTCTGGGGATGGGTGCAGAGTATCAATATTTTTGAATGTGCTCATGTTAATTCTCATGCATAGCCAGGGTTGCGAGCCACTGATCTAAATATTACTTTTGTTCTTTTGGGAAAATAATGAGACAATTAGACAATACGTGTTATGTATTTCAGCAAGAGATCTGGAGCTTAGTAAGCTTGCCGAAGATATTAGTTGTTGTTGCTATGATTATGATTATCATTATTGTTATTGTTATTGATGCTGCTGCTGTTGTTATTTTTATCATAGTTCTGTCTGTTGTCTTATGGCCTTAAGTACCTTCATTGGATCTGTTTCCTCACCTATAAAATGGGAATTGTATAAGTTACCACCTAAAGATGTTGTAAAAACACTAAGGTGGTATACTGTTTTATGAGGTATTTTTGGCAAACAATTCTCATAAATACTCATTTTTTCCCTAGAAACTTCTGCATTAGCTTACATTGAAAGGGAATTTGAAAGTCTTCCTAATAAAGATGATATTCTAAAGTGCCAACAGCCTAATAACATCCTAGTAAAGTAGTACAAAATATTTCATAAGATGAACAATTATTATTACTATCATTATTATTATATGTACAAGGAACTGTGTGTGTTTGTGTTTATCTTATTTAATCTTCCAAGCAACTTCATGAGGTATTATATTTCCATTTTATATATGAAGAGAATTGCTTACACAGTACCTGGCAGAATCAGAATTTGAACATAGAAATTCTATGCTGAATCATTTCCCAATACTGATATTTTGGTACTAAGGAAATAATGGCCTATACAATAAAGTTGGGTGGACAGCTAACTGCACTATCGTCTTCCTTTAATGAAATGCTGGGAGGACAGCTAATACCCACCCTGCTGGGATGAAGCTCTCAGAATTTGAGGCAAGCATTCCTTCCTTTCGGCTGTGGTGGATACATCTATGAGAAAATAGCTTGAAACAAGGCACTGAAGTATCCATCAACATGGGATCTAAAATTGGGAAGTAAGTTGCTGCAGAAATTCTCAAGGCCATGTGTGGGTACACTTGGCGTTGTGTACAATCTTACATTGCTGACAGAGTTGCAGGTGCCAAATTTAATTAATGAAATGGAAATGATAAGATTCTAGAGTTTAGCCAAGAACAAGATTTTTTTGTTCTCAAACATAACACTTTTGCTTTTTCACATATCATAGTCACCAGCATGGCTTTTGACTAATGGATTATAGCAGGAACCTCTGGTTTGGGGAAATAAGGTGTCTTAGACTCAGTGAGCTGGTACTTCAGATGCCCAGTATGGCCTTCTTTTCATTATAACATATAATGTCTCTGTTCTTTCAGTCTCATCCTTGCCCTTACCTTCAAAATGTTATTTATGGCAACAGGCGCATATGCTATGGATTATAATCATTACTAATATTAACCATATTTTAACTTGAATGAAATGGAAGAGGGTATCTCTATAGTTCTTTTCAAAAGGAAATAGAAGTCTTGGTGTCAAATATTAAGAATATGATCCCCCAGAGACATAAAGATTAAGAAAATTTGAAAATAGTATAGTTTTACACCATAATATTTCTGAGGTCTAGAATGTTACTATCCATATATGTAACACCTCTTTCATCAAAAATTGCTTTTATCCTTGAAATTACTATGGGAGGAAGGGGAGGATCGTAATCTCCATTTTGCAGATAAAAGAAATTGAGGTTCCAAGAAGCTAAGTCACTTGTTTAAGGTTACTTAGCTTAATCAGAGTAGAAAAATACAGTAAAAACAACAGTGTTTACTCTGGTCTGGAAGTTTGGTTTTGAAAAGGGAAACAGCAAATTTTTTACTGTCTTATACCAAATTTTCACATTAATCTAATAAAATATGAAACTTTTAATCTGACTTAATTTTTCCTTTTTGGGAAAAGGGATAGGGAGGTTATCTAGTTATATGTGCATCATTTATTAATCTGTTCTTACTTTTCCTTCAAAAAGAAGGATAATATATTAGCCAAAATAAATAATAACATGGTACCCAGAGGTGAGGAAGAGGTATTAAGCTGTAATCCCTCCTGTTTCGGAATTTTCCTGTCTGGTTCCATTGTTTACCTGTCCTTCATTGGTACACAGATGCTTACATTACATTATATTACATCTTTCAACTTATAGAAATGTTAAAATGTACTATCCATTTTAAACTTTCATAGGTAAGCTTTTTAAAATATATACCCAACCTGATTCTTCGATCTCTCACAGTAGATCTGAGATAAAATTATGTACTTAATAGTGTCAATTTGCAATGATGATAAACGGGCCTATCTACCCAAACCAATAGGCTCACAAAATTTAAGTTTGGAGTAGAAAAAATACTCCAAAACACAGGAGGAATTTGTTTCTACTCTCTGACATTGTCAAGGGGGGATTCCATAACACACAAAAATTTGACCCCCGTTCAGTGTTATGATAAGTGTCACACATTTTGTGTGAGTGTTTCAGCCCCAACCCCAGCCCCAGCCTCTGAGAGAGTTTGCTAAGAACTTTGGATGTGCTATTTCTCTTAACTCTTACAATAAACTTACAAGGTTATTGGCAGTATTATCTCATTTTATAGAAGAGCTTATATTTGGAATTCAGAGTTATTAGTACACTATTTGCATATTATTCCCAGTTTTATTATTTCAGATATAAATGGACTTTGAGCCTCAAGGGATATCAGCAGATCATGTGGTTCACAATGTTAGTATTTTCCACATATTTTATTTTAAAATCTAGTTTATACATTTTATTTCTCCCGTACAGCTTTCTGAAGATCCACAGCTTTCTGAGGATATGTCTGAGGTGTGTATGGGAATGATGTCCTGTTTCAATATTTTAAAGGAGCAGAAAACATTTGAAAATTAGTCCTTATAGGCTTTTTTTCTGTCTGTATAGCATAATATTCACTGAATGTTCTTTACAAACCTGTCTCTATGTAGAATCATGGTAAAAACTATCTAGACATAATTTTTAATTTCCCTTTATAGTAACCATATGTGTGTAAAAGATGACAATTTAAGGAACTTTTAAAAATCTTTTTTTTTTTTTTGAGACTGAGTCTCGCTCTGTCGCCCAGGCTGGAGTGCAGTGGCGCGATCCTGGCTCACTGCAAGCTCCGCCTCCCGGGTTCACGCCATTCTCCTGCCTCAACCTCCGGAGTAGCTGGGATTACAGGCGCCCGCCACCTCGCCCGGCTAATTTTTTTGCATTTTTAGTAGAGACGGGGTTTCACCGTGTTAGCCAGGATGGTCTCGATATCCTGACCTTGTGATCCACCCGCCTCGGCCTCCCAAAGTATTGGGCTTACAGGCATGAGCCACCGCGCCTGGCTCAAGAAACTTTTAATGCAGTGGCTCACGCCTGTAATCCCAGCACTTTGGGAGGCCAAGGCGGGCGGATCACGAGGTCAGGATATCGAGACCATCCTGGCTAACACGGTGAAACCCCGTCTCTACTAAAAATACAAAAAAATTAGCCGGGCGTGGTGGTGGGCGCCTGTAGTCCCAGCTACTCTGGAGGTTGAGGCTGGAGAATGGCGTGAACCCGGGAGGCGGAGCTTGCAGTGAGCCGAGACGCGCCACTGCACTCCAGCCTGCGCAACAGAGCGAGACTCCATCTCAAAAGAAAAGAAAAGAAAAGAAAAGAAACTTTTAATGAACACTTAACAGGTAAAAGTATGAGTTTAGGCTCTTTGGTTAGACAGGGTAATCCGGTATATTTCTTTCCTGTCAAGCTCCCTGAGGAGCTAGAAACATATTTTGGTGTGTGTGTGGGTGGGTATGGGTGTGTGCGTGTGTGTGTGTGTCTGTTGGGGAAAGGATTGAGCTGTTCATAGTTAAAGTATATTTTACGATAATCACCTATTTCTTAAAAGGTGATGCAAAAATGTAGGCAGGGCATTTCAAACAAATCAAACAGTGAGGGGAAAAAAAGGTACAGAATATTGATGGACACAGAAGGTCTTGGGGGAAAACATCACTCCTGAGCTGAGTCTTGAAGTTCAGTGATGTGGTTCTCAAAGTGTGAACCCTGGACTAACAGCTTCAGTATATAAGGTATAAGAAATATAAATAAATCTTGAAATAAGTCTTGGGTTCCACCCCAGACCTATTGATTTAGAAAACTCTGGGGGTGAGGACCAGCAGTGGGCACTTTAACATGTTATGACGGCTAATTTCATGTGTCCACTTGACTGGGTAAGGGCTGCCCAGACATTTGCCTGAGCAGTATTCTAGGGTGTGTCTTTGAGGGTTTCTGCAGATGAGATCAGCATTCGAATCAGTGAATTCAGTAAAGCACATTGTTCTTCCCAATGAGGGTGGGTATCATCCAACCTGATGAGGGGCTGAATAGAACAAAAGTTTGGAGGAAGGAAAGATTTACCCCTTTTTCTGCATAACTGCTTTCAGCTGAAACATCACTTTTCTCCTGCCCTTAGACTGAGACTCACACCATTGGCTCTCTTGATATTCAGGTGTTCAGACTCAAACTGGGCCACACCACTGGCTTTCTGGGTCTCCTGTTTGCAGATGGCAGACTGAGGAGTTCTCAGCTTCCATAATCATGTGAGTCAATTTCTTATTCTCTCTCTCTCTCTGTCTCTCTCTACACACACACACACACACACACACACACACACACACACATACAATAGTTCTGCTTCTCTGGAAAACTGCTACTACATCTGCACATCTACACGTGTTCTTCAGTTGATGCTGATACGGGCTAAAATTTCAGAACCACTAATGTAGCGGATGTCTACAAAGCAGAACTCAAATGACTACAAATTGCACAACTCCTCAATTTCTTCATCTATAAAATAATACTGTATATTTTGGCTGTTGTTAAAGTCAGAGCTGATACTGTAAACATAATTCCTTGGTTCAGACCTCTCTAAATAATAATTCCCTATGAGATGTTAACATTGATTTCTATATATCATCTTAGATATGCATATAAATTGTGACTTATTATCTAAATACCCAAGAAGGTACAAATATAGATAAATGAGCATATGTGTGTTTAATTTATATATATTTAAATATATGTAGATTACAAAATAATAATCTGAATCCACACTGTCCCCTTCAAAGAATAAATACTTATAAGGCTACACATTCTTTCCTAGTATAAGGCTGTTTTCCATAAACCTAGATACCTAAATGACTATTTTGTAAAAAGAAACAAAGAAAGGAAGGAACAAATATAACAAAATATTAACTATTGTTGAATTTAATCAATTGACTATGAATGTTTACTTGCCAGTCTTTCACTATTTCTGTATGTTTGATGATTTTCATAACAAAATTTTAGAGAGGAAAAAGCCTATTGGTTTCCTCTTGTAGGCTCTCTCCAGAGTATTTTTGTATAATATACAAATAAAATTCACTACCTCATTTTTTACATTATTTCTTCATCAATACTGCCTCTAAAACATTTTTTAGCGTTTACAAGTAAAGAAATATCCAAACAAGTCAAATATTCCAATTACTTAGGGAATTCAAAGGATACCTCATCAACGGCTTAATAAAGCACTGATTCAAAAACTTGACTTTATGTTAAATCACCCTTAGGAAAAAGTTATTATGCCCAAATCTCACCTAGACAGATTGTAATGTATTTGCTCTGGTTTGAGACCCAGTTGTTGTTTTCTTTAACCTCCCCAGGTTATTCCAAAGTCTACTCAGTGTTGCAAAATATTTGTCTGAATACTGAATTCAGTGACAAAGTATTTAAAAATAAGAAGCCTCAATGAGAGGCTAGCTTCTTGAGATAAAAACACTTGAAAGTGAGAGTATAGGTGCTACTTGGAAATAGGGTGTGTCTGGCCAAGTGGAAAATGAGGGAGGAAGGCCATTTATTCATGAAATGTTAATTGAGTTGAAAACAATGGCTGCACTATTTTAAAGTTCCTCTTCTTTTGTATAAAACACTGAGTAGAACAACAACAACAAAAAATGGTTCTAAAGGGAATTGTTACGTGATAAGCATAAGAAACTTTATCACGTCCTCTTCTTCCATTTAAGTATCTAGAAGGGGCAAGAAAAAGAATTATTGTGGTTTAACATAGCCTTGATTGATTATTTTTGGGAAAGCTGCGGAGTGCAGATATTCTATGTAATCAGCTGTAAACAATTCCAGAGAAAGATGTTGTTCCCTATATTTGAATAGGGATGGATAGTTCTATTCATTAAGTGAATAATTTTAACAAAATCTGCCAATATTTTCATGCAAAGTTATTAAAGATTGGTTAAGATTCAAGACCTGGTTTTATATGGAAATAAGCATTTATAGGACCAAATGCTAATTGTTTTCTGTCTTTAATATTTTCTTAAGATGAATGTGTACTGAGTTCACATTTGTGTCTTTTCTATATGCCAGGTTCTGTAGAAATCACTAAGAATGAGTTTGTATTTATGAACTTATAAAAGAAATGTTGCACCTTGTTAATTTTGTTAATTTGTTTTTGTTTTTGAGAAACATTAGAACTGGAAAAAAAAATTTTAAATGGGCTACCCAGAACTTTATTACCTGTATTATTGCTTTTAATTCTCCATAGTAACATTTGCTGAAGTATATTTGTAGAACTATTTTCACTTCATTCAGTATGAAGAAGTTGTCAGGCCTCTGAGCCCAAGCTAAGCCATCATATCCCCTGTGACCTGCATGTATACATCCAGATGGCCTGAAGCAACTGACGAACCACAAAAGATGACATTCCACCATTATGATCTGTTCCTGCCCCACCCTAACTGATCAATTGACCTTATGACAATACACCCTCCCCGCCCTTGCGATGATGTACTTTGTGATATTCCCCCCACAACCCCGCCCTTAAGAAGGTATTTTGTAACATTCTCCCTGCCCTTGAAAATATACTTTGTGAGATCTACCCCCTACCCACAAAAAACTCCACCGCCTATCCCAAACCTATAAGAACTAATGATAATCCCACCACCCTTTGCTGACCCCTTTTTCGGACTTAGCCCACCTGCACCCAGGTGAAATAAACAGCCTTGTTGCTCACACAAAGCCTGTTTGGTGGACTGTCTTCACACGGACATGTGTGACAGAAGTCTATTAAGTATATACTCTGAAATGTATTCTCCCAAACCTAAATATTCTCAGTGTAGTCCTAATTTAGTTGTTCATTAATAAAATAAAATCATATTTGAAATTATTTGTATGTGATTTGAAAGAAAGAAAGGAAGGGCAAACGAAAGGGAGGGAAGAAAGTGTACAAAGAGTAAGCCCAATGTGTAGGCAGTTTATATGGATTATGAGGACATTTTGACTTGTTTGAAATGGTAATTATAGCAAGGCATATTGTGATGGGTAGTTTTATGTGTCAACTTAACTGTGCCACAGTGTGTCCAGACACTTGGTTGAACATTATTCTGCGTGTGTCTGTGAGAGTGTTTCTAGATGAGATTAACATTTGAATCTGTAGGCTGGGTAAAACAGATTGACCCTCTATTGTGAGTGAGCTTCATCCAATCAGCTAAAGACATGAATAGAACAAAAACGCTGACCCATGGGAATAAGGGAGAATTTCCTTCAGTTTAACTGACTTGAGCTGGGATGTTTTTGTTTGTTTCTCCTACCTTTGGATTCACATTGAAACATCTGCTGTTCCTGGGTCTCGAGCCTGCAGGCCTTAAGACAGAAACAGTATTATCAGTTGTCCTGGTTCTCAGCCTTTGGACTCAGGTTAGAACTACAAAATGTAGTTCTAGCTACACTTTGGACTTATCGCTAGAACTACCAGAGGTACAAAGAGGAGCTGGTACCATTCCTTCTGAAACTATTCCAAATAAGAGAAAAAGAGGGACTCCTCCCTAACTCATTTTATGAGGCCAGCATCATCCTGATACCAAAAACTGGCAAAGACATAACAAAAAAAGAAAATTTCAGTCCAATATCTCAGATGAACATTGATGTGAAAATCCTCAATAAAATACTGGCAAATCGAATCCAGCAGCACATCAGAAAGCTTATCCATCACAATCAAGTCGGCTTATCTCTGGGATGCCAGGCTGGTTCAACATACGCAAATCAATAAACATAATCCATCACATAAACAGAACCAATGAGAAAAACCATATGATTATCTCAATAGATGCAGAAAAGGCCTTCGATAAAATTCAACATTGCTTCATGCTGAAAACTCTCTAAACTAGGTATTGATGGAACATATCTCAAAATAATAAGAGCTATTTATGACAAACCCGTAGCCAATATCTTCTGGTTCTCCAGTTTCCTGAACTGCAGATCTTGGGACTTGTTAATCTCCATAATCATGTGAGCCAATTCCTTATAATACACTATATCTATTTCTATCTATTCTATTGGTTCTATTTCTATGGAGAACCCTGACCAATACACATACCTATTTAATCCTATGTTTGGTTATATAAAGCATTAGTACCTACAACACAGACTGGTAAAACTAAACATGCAAACATCCTGATTTTATAAATATTGCTTCAACTTATCTCAAGAGCCCAAAGAAAAGATGCATGTACTCAATCTCAAGTTCTCCTTTGTTCTCTCTCCTTCTCTATCTCCTGTTTCTCTCATTAACACACATGCACACATACACACACAGCAACTCCCCTGCCACATATACACACACACATATTCATACACATACAGAATAATAAAGTATGGTCATTTATTTTTTCATATGCAACTTGTGGCTACATATATATATGTGTGTATATATATACACATATATACGTATATATATATGTATATATATATACACACACATATATATGTATATATATATATACATATATATATATGGCAATGACACAACAAAAAAAGAAAATATATATATATACACACACACACTCACATATTTGAGCTGAAAATATTGTATTGTTCTCTTATGGTTGTGATTCAAAATCCTTTGAAGCAAAGATCTAATTTACTACTTCCTTCTGGTTTAAAAATATTAACAGATGCTTGTCTTAGTTCATTTTGTGCTGCTATAATTGTTATGTCTGAGACTGTATTTTATAAGGAATAGAGATTTTTTATGGTTTTGGAGACTGAGGAGTCCAATGTTGAAGAGTTCACATCTGGCAAGAACCTCTTGTCACATCATCCCATGGTGGAAGGCAGAGGAGCAAGAAAGAGCTTGAGAGAGACAGAGGGAAGACAGCCAATCTCATTCCTTTCATCAAGATCCCACTCCCACAATAACTAACCTACTCCCTTAATAACAGCATGAATCCACACATGAGGGCAGAGCCCTCATGAGCTAATCACCTCTTAAAGCCCTACCTCTCAACACAGTTGCACTGAGGGATTAAGTCTCCAACACATAAACAATGGGGGACACATTTAAATTACAGCATTGTTAAGAGAACACACATCTGATTTTAATTCATTGTTCAGCATATAATTTGATGTTGGCCGTACATATACAATGTTAGTTCTGTGTCTATACAGTTTTTCTCATATATTTATTTCCCCTGAATCTGATATCCTGAAAGATATGCAGTTGAAATACGTTTTATATATTAGAGCAAGATGGCCAATTAGATGCAGCAGGGTGGAATAGTTCCCACTCAGGGACCAAGACGACTGGCATGCTTTAACAGAGCTTCAGAAGGAAGGCAACGAGACTGGACAGAAGGAAGCTGGGCTGAAGGGGAAGGAAGCTGGGAACCTGCATGGGGCTACCACATACTGGAACTCATTCCTGACCCCCAATGGCTCTGGAGGAACAGGAGAGTTGAACTGGCAAAGAGCAACCTGCTCTTGCCATGGGCCTCTGGAACCCTGGCAGGTAGAGACCCCTTGACTATTGCAGTCACTTCGGTTGGCAGGAAAGGCTGCTTAGAGAAGTGGTAGGGACAGCAAGCCAGCTGTTTTTGGCCCAGAGGATTTGGTGTGCAGGAGTGTCTGTAGTGGGGCATGGCCAGGAGAGTTCATTTCCCTAGGATCAGCTTGCTCCTGTCCCATAGGAGACTTTAGACCTAGGGGAACTGTCAGACCTGAACTCTGCAGGGTGGTCTTGCCCATCACACAAAGCCAGTTTGACCTGAGCACCCCTTGGTCTGCTGGCCTCTCCGGCATGGTGACCCCTATGGCCACGCACCAGCCCACACACTCCCTTCCCATACTGCAGCATGTGGTCCCCTAGGACCACAGCAACTCCCCACATAGCTTTGCTAGCACGTGTCTGGGTGAGCGGGTTTTTCTTTTCTTGCCCTTCCAGTGTGTGGTAGTACAGTCCACTCCATGCTACTGCTGGCCAAACACCATTGTAGACAGAGATTTGGTGGGCACAGAGCCAGCCAGCCCCACCCCTACAAGTGCCCCACCCTTGTATTAACACTGTGCAGAGAACATATTCCCCACCCTGAGTGACCACTCCTGCATGCGGGGCACAGAGAAGGCACCCAGACCTGTGCCCATCAGTGTCCTGCCCCAGTGTCAACAGCACCTTCAGTGTGACCATGCATGCAGTCACCAGCAGGGGCCCTCCACATTTCCCCAGCTGTGTTGCCTCTGGCACTATGATGAACGCCCACAAGGAGGCAGGCATCCAGCACCCTATAACACTCTGCTGCAGCTGTCACTATGAAGACAGATCCTGCTGTCACCACATTACTAAGCACTTTGATTGACACCACCCATTGGAGTGTGGTGACCAGTGGTCCAGGAGCACCTTGGCTCCCCCAGTGCAATGGAGTCCTAAACTCAAGGAGTCAGAGAACAAAGTAGGGCCCAATATAAGTCCCCTAGAGTTAGAGCATGCAGTCTAGGAGTCAGAAGCAGAGTGTTGGCCCCCTAAAATCTTCCATAAAGGAAGCCAGTTGGCTGATTCCACCTTATATCACAATCAAACCCTCAAGGTAATCAAAGAGGATGAAAGAAAAAACAATCCGAAGGTCAGCAACCTCAACGATTGAAGGTAAATAAGCCCACAATGATGAGAAAGAATCAGTGCAAGATTCAGACAAGCTGACAACTCAAAAAGCTACAGTTCCTTCTTTCCCCCAAATGACCACATCGCCTCTACAGCAAGGGTTCTGAACTGGGTTGAGATGGCTGAAATGACAGAAATATAATTCAGAATATGGATAGGAATGGAGATTATTGAGTACAGGAGTATATTGAAACCCAATCCAAGGAAGCTAAAAATCATGATAAAATAATATAGGGGCTGACAGACAAAATAGCAACTATAGTAAAGAATGTAACCATCCTGACAGAGCTGAAAAACATACTACAAGAATTTCATAATGCAATAATCACAAATATAAGTAGCAGAATAGACTAAGTGGAGGAGAGATTCTCAGAGCTTGAAGTTGGCTTTCTGAAATAAGACAGACATAACAGAGAAAAAAAAGAATAAAAAGGAATGAACAAAACCCCTGAGAAATATGGGATTATTTAAAGAGACCAAATCTACCACTCACTGGTGTCCCTGAAAGAGATAGGGAGAATGGAACCAACTTGGAAAACATATTTCAGGGTATCATTCACAAGAACTTCCCCAAGCTTGGTGGAGAGGCCAACATTTAAATTCAGGAAATGCAGAGAACCCCAATAAGATACTTCACAAGAAGATCATCGCCAAGACACATAATCATCAGATTTTCCAAGAAGATAAAAGAAAAAAATGTTAAGGCAGCTAGAGAAAAAAGTCAGTTCACCGACAAAGGGAAGCCTATCAGACTAACAGTGGAACTCTCAGAAGAAACCCTACAAGCCAGAAGAGACTGGGGACCGATATTCAACATTCTTTAAGGAAAGAAATTCTAACCCAGAATTTCATATCTGGTAAAACTAAGCTTCACAAGCAAAAGAGAAATAAGATCCTTTTCAGACAAGCAAATGCTGAGGGAATGTGTTACAACCAGACCTGTCTTACAAGAGCTCTTGATGAAGCACTAAATATGGAAAGGAAAGACCATTTCCAGCCACTACCAAAAAACACTGTCATACACAGACAAGTGACACTATGAAGCAACCACATAAACAAGTCTGCAAAATAACCAGTTAGCATCATGATGACGGGATCAAATCTACACGTAACTATACTAACCTTGAATGTAAATGGGCTAGATGTCCCAGTTAAGAGGCAGAGTGGCAAGCTGGATAAAGAAGCAAGACCCAAGGGTGTGCTATCTTTAAGAGATGCATCTCACATGCAGTGACACACATAGACTCAAAATAAAGGGATGGAGAAAAATCTACCAAGCAAATGGAAAACAGAAAAATCAGGGATTCTAATGCAAGTTTCAGACAAAACAGACTTTAAACCAACAATGATCAAAAAAGACAAAGAAGGGCATGACATAATGGTAAAGCGTTCAATTCAACAAGAAGATCTAACTATTTTAAATACATATGCACCCAACACAGGAGCACCCAGATTCATAAAGCAAGTTCTTGGAGACCGACTAAGAGACTTAAACTCCCACACAATAGCAGTGGAAGACTTTAACGCCCCATTGACAATATTAGACAGTTCACTGAGAGAGAAAATTTATAAAGATATTCAGGACCTAAATTCAGCACTGGATCAAATGGACCTGATAGAAAGCCACAGAACTCGCCACCCAAAAACAACAGAATATACATTCTTCTCATCACCACATGGCACATACTCTAAACTCAATAACATAATTAGTAAATGCAAAAGAACTGAAATCATAACAATCTCTCAGACCATAGCACAATCAAATTAGAAATCAAAACTAAGAAATTTACTCAAAACCATACAATTACACGAAAATTGAATAACCTGTTCCTGAATGACTTTTGGGTAAATAATGAAATTAAGGCAGAAATCAAGAAATCCTTTGAAAATAATGGGAACAAAGGTACAACATATGAGAATCTCTGGGACACAACTAATGCAGTTAAAAGGGAAATTTATAGCACTAAATGCCCATCTCAAAAAGTTAGAAAGATCTCAAGTTAACAACCTAACATCACAACTAAAAGAACTAGACAACCAAGAGCAAACAAGTAGCTAACAGAAGACAATAAACAACCAAAATCAGAGGTGAACTGAAGGAGAATGAAGCACAAGAAACCATTTAAAAGTTTAACAAGTCCAGAGCTGGCTTTTTCAAAAAAGTAATAAGATAGACTGCTCCAAGACTAACAAAGAAGAAAAGAGAGAAGATTCAAATAAACACAATCAGAAATAACAATGGGAATATTACCACTGACTTCACAGGAAAACAACCAACCATTAGAGAATATTATGAACACCCTATACACATATACTAGAAAATATAGAAGTAATTAAAACATTTCTGGACATATATACCTTCCCAAGACTGAACTAGGAAGAAATTGAATCCTTGAACAGACAAATAATGAGATCTAAAATTGAGTTTGTAATAAATAGTCTGCCAACCAAAAAAGCCAGGACCAGATGTATTCACAGCTGAATTCCACCAGATGTACAAAGATGAGCTGGTACCATTTCTACTGAAACTATTCCAGAAAATTGAGAAGAAGTAACTCCTCCCCAACTCACTCTATGAGTCCAGCATCATCCTGATACTAAAACCTGGCAGAGCCACAGCAACAACAAAAAAAAAAACATCAGGCCAATGTCCTTGATGAACACTGATGCAAAAATCCTCAATAAAATCCTGGCATACAGAATCCAGTGGCACATTAAAAACTTATCCACCATGATCAAGTAGGCTTTATCCCTGGGATGCAAGGTTGGTTCAACATATGCCAATCAAAAATCAATCAATTATTCATCACATAAACAGAACTAAAGACAAAACCACATGATCATCTCAATTGATGCAGAAAAGATTTTTGATAAAATTGAACACCAGTTCATGTTTAAACAAAAACTCTCAATAAACTAGGCATTGAAGGAACATACCTCAAAATTATAAGTGCCATCTATGACAAATCCAAAGCCAACATCATAATAAATGAGCAAAATTTCGAAGCATTCTTCTTGAAAACCAGCAAAAGACATGGATATGCTCTCTCACCACTCATATTTAACATAGTATTGGAAATCCTGGCCAGGGCGATCAGGCAAGAGAAAGAAATAAAGGGCATTAAAATAGGAAGAGAGGAAGTCAACCTCTCCCTGCTTGCAGATGACATGATCCTCTATCTAGAAAATCCCCTATTCTCAGCTCAAAAGCTCCCTAAGCTGATAAACAACTTTAGCAATGTCTTAGGATACAAAAATCAATGTACAAAAATCACTGGTATTCCTATACACCAATAATAGTTAATCCAAGAGCCGAATCAAGAATGCAATCCCATTCAGAATTGCCACACACAAAAATAAAACACCTAGAAATACAGTGAACCAGGGAGGTGAAAGATCTCTACAAAGAGAGCTGAAAACACTGTTCAAAGAAATCAGAGATGACACAAACAAATGGAAAAATATTCCATGCTCGTGGACAGGAAGAATCAGTATTGCTAAAATGGCCACACTGCCCAAAACATATTGAATACATTCAATGCTATTCCTATCAAACTACCATTTGCATTCTTCCCAGAACTAGAAAAAAAACTATTTTAAAATTCATATGAAACCAAAAAAGAGCTCGAATAATTAAGGCAATCTTAAGCAAAAAGAACAAAGCTGGAGACATAACACTGCCTGACTTCAAACGATACTACAGGGCTACAGTAACCAAAACAGCTTGCTATTGGTACGAAAACAGATACATAGATCAACAGAAAAATAATAGAGGACTCAGTAATAAAGCTGCATATCTACAACTATCTGATATTAACAAACCTGACAAAACCAGGCAATGGGGAAAGGATTCCCTATTCAATAAATGGTGCTGGGATAACTGGCTAATCATATGCAGAAGATTAAAACTGGACTCCTTCCTTACACCATATACAAAAATCAACTCAAAATAGATTAAAGAGTTAAATGTAAAACCGTGAACCATAAAAACCCCAGAAGGCAACCTAGGCAATACCATTCTACACATAGGAAAACAGGCAAAGATTTCATGAGGAAGACTCCAAAAGCAACAAATGCAGAAATTGTCAAATGGAATCTAATTAAACAAAAGGGCTTCTGCACAGCAAAGGAATCTATCAACAGAGTGAACAGACAACCTACAGAATAAGAGAAAATTTTTGCAAACTATGCGTCTGACAAAGGTCCAATATCCAGCGTCTATAAGGAACTTAACAAATCTACAAACAAAAAAGGAACAACCCCATTAAAAAGTGGGCAAAGGACATAAACAGACACTTTTCAAAAGAAGACATACATGTAGCCAACAATCATGCAAAAAAAGTCTCAACATCACTGATTATTAAGGAAATGCAACTCAAAACCACAATGAGATACCATCTCACAGCAGTCAGAACGGCTATTCAAAAAAAAAAATAACGGATGCTGGCAAGGCTGCAGAGAAAAACAAACACATACACTGTTAGTGGGAATGTAAATTCATTCAACCATTGTAGAAGACAGTGTGGCGATTCCTCAAAGATAAAAACACAAATACCATTTGACCCAGAAATCCCATTAAAGAGAATATACTCAAAAAAATGTACATCATTCTATCCTAAAGACACATGCAGGCATGCATATGTTCATTGCAGCACTGTTCACAATAGCAAAAACATGGAATCAACCTAAATGCCCATCAATGGCAGACTGTATAAAGGAAATATGGTACACATACACCATTAAATACTACCCAGCCATAAAAAGAATGAGATCATGTCCTGTATAGGCACATGGGTGAAGCTGGAAGCCATTGTTCTTAGCAAACTAATGCAGGAACAGAAAACCAAATACCGCATGTTCTCACTTATAAGTAGGGGCTAAATGATAAGAACACATGGACACAAAGAGGGCAACAATGAACACAGGGGCCTGTTGAGGGGTTGAAGGTGAGAGGAGGGAGAGGATCAGGAAAAATAACTAATGGATACTAGGCTTAATACCTGGTTGACGAAATAGCCTGTACAACAATCCCCCATGACACAAGTTTTCCTATATAACAAAGCTGCACTTATACCTCTGAACATAAAAGTTAAATTAATAAAATAAAATATATGTACTTTAATAATTGTAGTGATATATTTTACCAAAATTATTAATACTTCATTTTAAATTAATTTTAAGAGATACAGCTTTGGATGATTTTACACCAGTGATTCACACATTCTGCCTTCGTATCACACTCTTAGAAGTTCTGATGACACCAACAATACATTTAAATGATTTTCTGTATTATGAAAACACATAAGACATTTTTAAAAGAAAGGAGATATTAACTCTGAAAGTATGATCAAAGGGAGCAATTTTTAGCAATACTCTCAGCTACTTTGGGAAAATTAGAGAAACGTAATTTGGAAAATTATGGAATAGAGGGCAGGGAAGAGAGGTGTGTAAAGAAGGAGAGAATACCATGGTTTTAAGAGGTGACAGAAAAATTTCATCAATTTATTCATTTATTTCATTAAGGTTATTGAGGACCTTCTGTGGCCAAACACTAAACTAAGTGGTCTTAAAAAGGTTGCCAAAACCATGAGCCTGAAATTAGCCCCAGGATGCATTCTTTTCATAAATATTTACTGAGCGCCTACTATGTATTAGGCATGGGAGGTACAGAGTGGCAAATCCACACAGGATGCCTTAGACTGTTCACATCTATGCCTATCCTGGATCAACCCCAATTCTAAAAAGGCATGAACTATTCCAATAGAGCAATAAAACATACAATTCTGAAAATAGAAGATTTTTTCCCAACCAATTCAGGAAAAAATAGATATGTCAAAAACAATCTCAAAAAAGTATCAATTAGTTCTGCCACTAAAGATTTCTAGGAAAGGGATATCTTGAGTGATTTAATTATCCTAGGAATAGTTGATTTACTTTTGTTTCTCCACATCCCTTCCAGTGTCTTACTGTTCTTGTTTCTGTAATCTATTTTTAATCTCAGCATTCAGAAGGCTAAGAGGAGAAAATAAATAGGAGACTATATCTAGGGTAATTTTGTCTGTTGGAAGAATTTTAACACCAAATGCTCAATCTTGATTCACTGAACAAATATTTAATTGCAATAATAGCTAACATTTAATATGTAGCTACTAAGCGTCACACAATTTACATGGTATATTAGCTTTCTACTGCTGTGTAAAATATTACTATAAACTTAGTGGCTTCAAGAACACCCATATAGCAGCTCACAGTTCAGAAATTGGGCAGAGTTCACAAGTCCAGGCAGGCTCAAGTGGGTTCTTGCTTGGAGTTCTCACAAGGCTGAAATCAAGGTTTCAGTCCTGCTAGACTCTTACCCAGAGACTCTAGGGAAGAATACGTTTTCAGTTTCATTCAA
This sequence comes from Homo sapiens, assembly GCF_000001405.40. Lineage (NCBI taxonomy): Eukaryota > Metazoa > Chordata > Mammalia > Primates > Hominidae > Homo > Homo sapiens. The sequence goes on along the minus strand of NC_000016.10, from coordinate 62,207,149 downwards.
GTTGTTGGCAAAATCCAGTTCCTTCTATGTAGATGTAGATATGTGGTACCCATTCCCTTACTGGTTTATAGCTGGAGGCTGTTCTCTCCTTTTAGAAGCCTCCTGAATTCCTTCTTCCAACCCCCCCCTAAGCCAGCAACAGGATATCAAGTCTGTCTCATGCTTCAAATCTCAGCCTCCTCCTGCCACTAGCAGGAGAAAACACTGCTTTTAAAGAGCTTGTGTGAATCGATTAGTCTACCCTCAGCCTCATAATCTTCCTATACTAAAATCAACTTAATTGCACATGCAAAATTCCTTTGCCAAGTAAAGTAACATAATCACAGGGGTAGTACCAAAGGGCAAAGGCCATACTACCTACCACACATATTTTAACTCTAATCTTCATTACTACTCATTTAAAGTTGGGTATCACTATTCCCAATTTTCACAAAGTGTGATGTACAAGGTCACACAATTGTTATGTACTATAGCAGTGGTTGAAGCTCAGGTCTTTCCAACTCTATATTGCTGTTTTTTTCCACAATTCCACAATCAACAAAACTTTTCTGAGCTCCTATTTTTGTTATAATCTAGAGATAAATAAATGAATAATGCCTTTCCTTGCCCATCGGAAGAAAAAATCTAGCAGGTTCCTTTTTATCCAATTAGTCAGTAATGAAATAATTCCTAATACGTACTATGTGTTCTTTTAAGGACTGTGTTTATGTTAGCTCATTGAATTCCCACAATAATATAGTAACTGCAATCATTTTCCTGAAATTAAACTGCCTGTGGCTGGCAAAGTTCACATTGTATCAGGGATACTTGGCCTCCAGAGTTCATGCTTTTAACCATGACATACACTGTCTCTGAACCATCCACATGTAAGTTCCATATTCAAGATCAGGTCAGGGAATGTAAGTGAATGTTCCACACATCATACTACATTTTGTTTTACAGTGTAAAATTCCACCTTATGTTATGTTGTAAAATAAAATTTCCTTATTCTCAATGTTGACTTGGATTTGAGGATTTCCTAAAATATCTGGAGCTCTCACAACACTGGACTGAGTAGTATTCTCCCGACCTTCTCTTTGATAGGAATCCTCTCTAATTTGCCGTAATCCCCACCACGCCCTATTGTCTCCATGCATTAAAAGATTAAGTGACCATTAAATATCCTCTAACACTATTGCATTTTGTTATAGCAGAGAAATATTTTTTTCGGCACTCATCCTAAGTAAAACATTGGAAGATAAACTAGGAATTGGAGACAGCAAACATTAAGTCCTCCTCCCTTAATTTTAACTGCCCAATCTCTATAGGATTTTACATTAGTTGACAACCTTTGCTTCATCTAGACACCATTTAATTGGCTTGAGGAATTCTATACCATCTTCAGATAAAAGAGAATATTGGAATGAGCTCTGAAATTGTAGGATTTGAGTAGGACAAAGGAAATTTTTAAAATCTCATATACAGCCACTAGGAGGAGGAAACACGCTTTCCAAATGTAATTGTAGGTCATTATATCTAATTTTAAACTTAACCACACATTTAAAATGTTAAATTTAAATTAATGAGTATCTATCTCATCTGAATGTATGGTGATATTTACCCTTTGTCTTTGCAATGATTTTTTTGTGAATTAATCAATTCTCTTGCATATCCTTTTTTATTTCTAACATTTATGTTTGATAATCTTTGTGTTGCTTTCCAAAAAGCATTTTGCCCACAACATTTGGGCCACATTCAGGGAAAACAGAACTAGTAACCCATTGGAAAATCAGTAGGCTGTATGCCTGAAGAGCCCACGCATTTGTGTTAGATAAATGTCTCCCTACCTGGTTTTTGTTCAGCCCATACAACTATATAAAACTTCACAGCGGCCACATCTGTATTCAGCCACCACTCTTTGTAAAAGGGACAGCTTGAGAACCTATTAAAAATACATTGTTACTATGAGTATTTTGTTCCTCTTTGCTATATAATAAGCTGAAAACTACAGTAGGTGAGCATTCTATGGGGAAGACTGCTGTTCCTTTTATTGACTTTATGGCCACACAAACTAATAGAAAATGCATTTTATATCACACAGGTGAACTCAATCACGCTGAACTCAACGGGATGGAATATTTTCCCTACATTTAAGTTGTAAATGGCAGGTTGCTTTACAATAAATATCTGGGACAATAAAATGCCACTTCTTTATACAGTTTTATTATAAAAAATACTTATGTTGTAAATAATATTTTAAAATTCTGACTATGTAGCTAATGCTTATTATAGAAAATTTGAAAGTTCTTAAGAAATATATGGAAAATAAATAACGCCCACAATTTTACCATTGGAACTCTCAGTATATAGAAAATGTGAATTTCTTTTTCCATATTAACTTTACGTGGGCACAGATATTTATGTCATGACCATTTTTCTATAAAATACACTGCTTATAAACATGATATTTCATGGCTTAACGTGAATTATTCAATAATTTTTCTATTTTGAGGTATTTGAAGTTATTTCTCTTCGTATCTATCCATTCCTTTTTCTTTTTCTCTTTCATTTTTTTCTTTTAAAAAATATTTAGTGTGATTTATGTTCACACAGGAAACTGTTAGCATGCTATTCTACTTCTTTCCTTCAGATGAAATTCTGGATATAGAGTTGCTAGTCACAGGCTGCTATTATTACTGATGGTGTCATTGTTGTTTGTAGTAATGGTAATGTTCTCACTTGTAAATTGTGTTCAATAAATGGAAAATTCTCTTTTAGAAAGATTGCACAAATATGCCATTTCATTTTGAGTATAGTGGTGCCCCAGAGCAAGTAATTTAAAAGCATCGGTTCTCTACCATGATATCACGAGAACCCGCTAAGTACAGCCCCTAGATCACTGGTAGGAAGAAAGAAGTCACAGAATTGAGCTACCCATATGCCTTCCAGGATGCAGTTTCACTGGATATTAGTTCTCTTGGTCTAAATGTAGAAGTCCCCATAGGACAGAAGCATAACTCAGGTAAATGCCAGAGCCCAGTTTTCTGGATACTGAATACTGTTCCTTGCCACATTCTAGCTTCTAACTAGAGCATGTTAATCTTGACACAGCCAAAAGATACGGGGGAACATGTTTTATAGCAAACATAAGAAAGATGTGCAGGTTAAATCACATGCCAAATAATTGAAGGTGCTCATTCCAAAGACAAACAGTTAAATGAGGAAAGTAACTTTAAAATGAAAATTTCTTCAAAATTAGATTTCTATATATGCTTTATATATTTAATAGACTTATTTGAGGCTTTAAAATGTATCTAAATATCCATATACATAAAATTTTGACATCATATTTCATTCTGTGTTAAAATATTTTGAAAAAAATTACTAAGATCATTCTTTGCTAGGGTGATAACATAATTTATAATCTGGAACTTATTTTTAAAGAGATAGGGTCTCACTATGTTTCCCAAGCTGGTTTCAAACTCCTGGGCTCAAGTGTTTGTCCCACATCGGCCTCCCAAAGAACTGGGATTACAGGCATGAGCCACCACACCAAGCCTAACCTGGGACATTTTGAGAGTTTAAGGGATGACTATTATTAATTACAACAAGAAAATTGATATAAACCAGAACTATCTCAGGCAAACCAAGAAGAATGAGCTTCTTAACTCTTGCCTATGGCCTTTGCTTTCTGATGTTTCTATTTTTCAGTGTGAGTAAATAAGCAATTGAAAAGCCATAAAACACCATTTTTACCACACACTTATCCATTTTATTTCAAATAATACAGCCAGCATTTTGTTTTTTCTGAGTAGGATGATTTGTAATAATGGGGTTATTTACTATTATTTTACATTGAGTACAGCAGCAATTCTCAACTTGATTATTACCTAACATGTCAAGATGAGTTAGAGAGGAAAAAAGGGACCTTATAGACCTCTTTTTTTGTCTTATTTTATCTTATTTTAAAAATATTTAATTAATGTCCATAGAAGGGTTCAAATATGGGACATTACATAGCAGATACGTTATCAGGGTTGGAAGAGGAAGCTATTGTTAAGAAACACCGACCTAAAATTGATAAAAGTGTAAGCTCAGTGGCCTATATCTAAAGCTCTTAAAACTCCAGCCCCATCTATATTCCTAAATTGGTTTCTCATTTCTCCAAATGTAATTCTTAACTTCTATCCAAAATTATCTATACACTTGCCTGCTTCTCTCTCTTCTTCTATTTGCTAAGTCCAAGTTTTGGGTGAGTGAAGATCAGGAACTTTACCCAATTTCTTTAATTTCCTTTTACAACACTTCTCCCTCCCCAACCCCTTCCACCCAGACACACACACACACACACAAACACACACGCACACATCATGTGAGAGACCCAAGGGCCACCATTTGGACCCTGCTGATATTTCTGTGAGAGACGAGACATGCAATAAAATTAAAATAATTATCCTATTGTTAGATGTTAGCTTATTTACATTTTATTTCTATCATAAAACATTTTTTAGTTAATAGAATGGAGATACTTGGGTAACAAAAGTAGAAAAACTTTAAAAATTTCTCTTGTCCATAAAAACTGAGATATGCCCTATATTTGAGGCAGAATTGCTTGTAAGTCCTACCACTTGGCTTAAGTTCATGTCTTCCATTGACTTAGAGTAACCTTTATGTCTTTTCTGGTTTTAGCTATAAAAATACTCTGTTAAAAACTTAAAATCAGATACACAATTCCTAGCAATTTAGATTTAAGATTATCGTCTCAATTTCATAGATGCTAAGTTGCCTGAATGGTGTTTAGAGGCTATCATTTCACATTGATGTAATTAAGAAGATGTGGCTCCAGAAAAAATGAACTACAAAAGCCACCCACAGACCACCTCTATCTTTGGATTGCAACATGCAATTTACCTATATAACAAAACTGCCTATGTACCCCTGACGCTAAAATAAAAGTTTCTGCAAGTACTGAGACAGACAGGTGGGAGGGGCTCTCTGGCAAAACTTCAGCCGTCCTGTGCTCTGAGGTGGAGCCTCAGGAAGTTCCCGCCATTTGCAGTGGGGAGGAGCTTGGCCCCGTCTCTTCCTGTGTGGAACCTGGGTTTCAAAGGGCGAGGCTGGAAGTGCACCAAGAGGAGCTCTGGCCTTGTGGAGAGGCTCTGTTTCCCCCTTTTCTTCCTTTTCACCCAATAAAACCCTGTCTTACTATTCGAATTGTCTGAGAACTTGAATTTTCGTGGCCGTAGGACAAGAACCCTGTCTTTAGCTGAACTAAAGTCCTGCAATAGTACTACTTTAAAACTTATTATATTTTTAGCTTTTTAATAATATATTCAATGATATAATTAAATAATTATTATTTCTTTTAATGGTTTCATTCTGTATCATCAGTTTTTCATACAAATATCCCTACACTGTTCTTGGGGTCTTGAATTTGATTCATCCATCAATTAGCTAGATTAAATATCTCCAATTATTGTTGTTTTCTTAGTTTTTATCTTCTGGAAAGCATATAATAATCAGATTTTCTACGTGATTGAGGAGCTTAGACATATCTTTGTATTGTTATTACATAAGAATCAAAATTTGTGAAGAGAAGTTGGAGTTCATAACTTTTGCACCACAATAATAAAAAAATGTTACTCCATTATATTCTGGCATCTGGTAGTGCAGATAAAAAGTCTGAAGTAAGATTTTTTGTTTATATCTAATATTTTCCACACAATTGTTAGATTAACTCTTCTACCTTGAATTTGAAATTTTCATTAAGTAATGAATATTACTTGATACACTTGATAGTCCTGTTTCAGTAGTTGGTCCTAATATATTGTGATCATTCAGGCTGTAGATTTAAGCTTTTCTGTAGCCAAAGAACAATATTCTGTATAAATATTGACCAGCCACTACTTACCCTTCCAATCATTCAGTTTTCCTGAATAAGTGAAATAAACTGATGATAATAATTTCCTTTTATTTTTATCTCTAATTATTTTCACTCTGAGATACTTCCTTAAACTTGTTTTCCATATTCTTAAGTCAATTATGTGCAGAATTTGTGCCGCCTGTAAATATTTACCGATATAGTAAATATAATCAGTTCTTCAATCCCTTTTTGCTCCTGTTTACCTCTCATCCAGGTTTTTCTTTCATCTCTGAGATGATAACCTACTGTGTATTGTCTGTCAAATCATTAAAACCACTTTCTTGTTATTTTATGGAGGGAACAAAACAGATGTGGCTAAAATGTATTTTTATTCCGTGCAGATATTTTAATGATTATATTTTCCTTTCATTTCTTGAGTTCTACATTCAGGTTTATGCTATTTTTTCTCTTTTTTACATGCCTTTCTGTTTTTTAAGTGATTTAGAAGGGTTATGAAATAAAGAAATCTAATATATTTTTAATAATTTATTCCCCCTTGTATACTGTTGGAACACATTTAAAAAAATACTTGTAGTTTTCAGGATGAGGATCTTGTTATTAGTTGAGTATCCCAGCCAATGTGCACGAAAGGAGATGCCGTGCCACTCGAAAATACAACATGGTTTATTTGTTTTGTGTTTTTACTTGTTTTTGATTTATCTGTTTATCATTATTAATATTGTTATATTGTCTGTGGATGTCTGAACTGAAACCATAAACAGCTATCCAGCTTGCCAGTAAGATAAAATTGTAGTAATTGATGTTCCATGAAAAATATCTTTTTAAATTTTTGTTGTTGCTGGTTTTTCCCCTTCTTTTTGTGAATTCTTTCTGTCAGATGCCAGCTACAACTAATGTAGCGAATCATCTTTCCTAGTATTGGGATGGGACAGATCTTTCCATTATTTTTTATAACTTTGAGATTTAAAAAATAGTTATATTATATCCAAATTGCCTCTTCTAAAACCATTGCTAACACGGTCACTATCTCAGCCCCAATGCCAACCACATCTCTTTGAGAAACCACTTTTCAGATCTGTTTTCACCAGTGGCCTCCCATCTTAGCGGGCAGCATAACCCCAGCATTTCCTAGCTCAATTCCTTCAGTCACTGCTGTGGTGAATGGCATGCTTCTACTAGCCACCCAGAGCAGCTGGTGCAAGGTTCCAGCTGATTGGAATCATCTGAGATTCCAAATAGCCACAGTAACCAGAGGAAATTGAAATAAACTGTGTTAATTTTAAATCCCACTCCCACCTCTATGCTCATGGACTACAGGATCTCCGCCATTTACCTTTAGCCTGTCCAAAACTTTCCTTTATGGAAGGTAATTTCTAAAGTGGTTTGTGCTGAACTTATGTACTCTGATTACAGTTGTACTGTTTATGGTTAGATGCATAAACCACATAGATAAGAATTGGGAACTAGGAAAGAGAACAAACTAAATCTTTAGTTACTTAAAGACATTTTTCAATTTTTTAGTTTGTGTGTGAATGTGTGTGTGTGCTTATATATCTGTATCTGTGAATATTTGTGTTTCTCTTTTGTTACTTTGAAATATTCTCAAGATACTATAATTTTCTCAAGGTATTCTGTGCTGACTCTGTTTTCTTTGTTGTTCTGACTTCCAAACAACTAAGAGCCACATTTGCATCTCAGTGAAGTATAGTCTGACATGAATTCTTGAAATATGATTTCCCTGAGGCTTTACCTTCCATTCTAATTTTTATATTTCCTATTTATGCTTTTTAATCTACTATATATAGTTCACATTGATTGTATATATTCTTATATATCATCAAATTACTTATGTACAAAATGGGCTGCAATTTAGGGACTATTACAAATAATTTGAAGCATATGTTTATTAAAAGAATAATGTGACCATTAAATTCATAGATTGCCCCAAAAAGAGGGCCCTTAAATCATGTCTTCCAATTTTAGCATATGTAAATATTAAATAAATCACAAATCTAAAGCCCAAAGAAGAGAAATACCTCCTTCATGTCTCCTAACTTATACCCTGGAACACACTAATTTTCACTGCTGATTTATTATTTATTTTTATACCTGACATTTTAAATGACTATAGGAATCATAACAGCCAAATAAACATATGAGGGATTCTATAAATTCTTATTTTTAAACTAGAATGCTGTGCAGGTAAAATAGTGATATAGAGATATACATTCTTATAATTAAAATTCAATTTATATTATGAATCATACATGTGAGATTTTAAGTAGTATATTAATATGAACTCTGTGCAAAATCATGTATTTCACACACACACACACATGCATTTATAAATTTTGAGGTTTTTTTGTTTACCATTAACACTAGTTATTCCTTTAGTATAGCACTAAACATAAATAATTTAAAATCATAGATTTCTATAGTATTTCAATTTTTTTTTTTTTGAGAGGGGGTCTTGTTCTGTCTCCCAGATTGGAGTCCAGTGGCATGATCTCCACTCACTACAACCTCTGCCTTCCAGGCTCAAGCAATTCTCCCATCTCAGCCTCTCGAAAAGCTGGGATTACAGGTGTGCGCCACTATGATGAGCTAATTTTTTTGTGTTTTTGTTAGAGATGGGATCTCACCATGTTGCTTAGGCTGGTTTCAAACTCCTGAGCTCAAGTGGTCCGCCCGCTTTGGCCTCCCAAAGTGCTGGGATTACAGGCATGAGCCACCACACTTGGCCCAACATTTTAATTTTTAACAAGTAATTATAACATTTATAATGAAAATCTCTTCCAATTAATTTTTGGAGGGAAAGGAACATTTATTTTTTAAGGCCAAAATATTAAAAACATGTTAAATTTTCTAAAATGTTTTTAATCTTTATATTTAGTTGTATCCAAATAATTTGAATTTGAATCCTACGAAGGGTTTACAGACATCTTTGTCTCATTTGTTAATCAGAGGCCATGCTATGCTGATGGTTTTCTCTTTCATAATATAAAGCACTTCATTTTTTTACTCAACTTTATTATTTTATTATTTATATTGTTTTCTTTCTTCCTAAAACATACTACAATTGTGTTTTTCTTAGTTATCTGTGAATCACCATTGTTTGCATATTATAGTATCTCAGTTTTTTTGCATTGAATTAACGTTTAACAATTGAAAATAGAATGTAAAATTTGTACACTCTATCATCGTAGATCTCCGTTAAATGTTGGAGTTCATAATGAACCTCATTTTGAAAGTGAAGATTGCATTTTTGAATAGAAATTTAATGTATTATGTTTATGGGGGAGATAACTTATAGGGGCATTGTGTGTATCTCCAAACTTTTGTAGTTTATTACAAAAGAAGAAAAAAAAGAAACAGAAAAGGTGATCTGAGTCAAGTTTTTTGTCATAGCCATGCATTAGATATACCCTGGAGATTAGCATTTGCCAAGTGTACATCAGTTAAAATAAATGAGTACATAGAACTACTGGCTTTGTTTGAAGCAGGAGAAAACCCAATTTCCCCTCAATTATGGCATTTTGTGCTATCAAAACACTAACAATTGAAAATCACGGCAAGTACCAACTCATCTTTCTCAGTTAGCATGTGTGTATACGTATTCATCTTAGTCTTACAGTCAATTGTATCTTAATACCTAAATGGAGATTATCAAAACAGAAAATGAAAGAAAAGAAATCTCAGCTATAACTCTGGAACAAAATCTCTACTTCCTTTCTTCTTGGACCCCATTTGAAGTGGCTCTGAAATGCAAGTAACAAATTGCACTATCTTGATATTCCATAATGATGTTTTTAATCTTTATGTCAGCCTTTTCTGTCATTGTCATTGTCATGCATGTTTCTGACATTTTATGCCAATGTTTATCTGTTGGATATCACAGACTTTATCAGAAAACGTTGACAGTTATACTTAAAATTTTCTGAATAATCAGATGATATTACTGTTTCTCCTTAATTTGTCTTATATTTTTATGTATCTTTGTAATAAAATATATCTTAAAATAATACTTTTCATTATTATAGTTTTATAGATTGTAAAGCATTTTCTTATGTGGCTCAAATTTAATTATCACATACTCTGTAAACTTAATAAATCATCTTGTTATTGTATTAAAGAGGCTATAAAAGCTCAGGGCGTAACTTGATAAAGGTCATTCAACTTATACAATGGCAAAACTGGATCAGAGTCTGTGGTTTTTCAGTAATTAATAAAAACCAATGTTTACAAAATACTTATGATATGTGAAGCCCTTGGCAAGTTCATTTCATTAGGTTGTACAACTTCCCTATGAGAAAGAAATTATTAGTATTTCAATTTTACAGTAGCTGAGGCTCAGGAAGGTTAAGTACTTTGCCTGCAATCACAGATATAGTAAGTGAAGAAGCCAGTATCCAAACCCAGACAATCTGCCTTCAGAGCCCACCTTTCTTAAATGCTAAACTTTAAGCTTAATAGTATATATTTTGCACTATTTATCAATGACTATTAATTTAAATATGAATACACAAACTTGTGATGGGACACCACTGATTATACTATAATTGAAAAGCTACACCAGTACTTAAGTCAAGCATAAATACAGAAAAGGGCAAAAATCATTCTTGTGCACTTTGGGAAATTTTCAGAAAGGGAAAATACCTGTGTAATCAATCAAAAATTAGGACACTAGGGGCCAGGCGTGATGGCTCACGTCTGTAATCCCAGCACTTTGGGAGGCCGAGGCGGGCGGATTGCCTGAGGTCAGGAGTTTGACACTAGTCTGGCCAACCTGGTGAAAACACGTCTCTACTAAAAATACAAAAAAACCGGTGTGGTGGCGTGCGCCTGTAATCCCACCTGCTCAGGAGACTGAGAGGGGAATTCCTTGAGCCAGGGAGGTGGAGGTTGCAGTGAGTATTTTGGAAAATTTAATGTTTTTAATATTTTGGCCTTAAAAAATAAATGTTCCTTTCCAGAGCTTTTCCAGAGTAAGACTCTGTCTTAAAAAAAAAAAAAAATTAGTACACTAGAACCCTAGCCTCCCCGCATTATACATGTAACACCCATGTAACTAACAAGCACAAGTACCCCCAAATCTAAAAAAGAAAATGTCAACAGCCCTCATCATGCTTAACACCACCACCCCCAAGTCATTCCACCTCTCTTTAAAGACCACTACCTTTCTGACTGTTAACACCATGGTTTATTTTGCCTTAATGCTAAACTTGATATATATAGATGTGTATAATATATAATCTTTTGGATTCGGTTTATTCTCGATTTTTTAAATGAGAGTCATCAATATTATTGCAAAGAACAGAAGTTTATTCATTCTCTTTGCTGTATAGTACACTAACATGTGAATATTTGACAACTGATATATCCTATTGTTGATGGGCATTCTAGAAGTTTCCAATATAGGGGTATTATGAATAGTGTTGCAATACATTTTGTAAACTAAAGGTGTAAATTTTGTAATAACACTTTAGTCCACAGATACACACATTTCTGTTGGAATGCGCCTAGGAAGGAACAACTCAGTCACAGTGGATGTGTATAGCCAACTTCAGTAAATATTATCTGAGAGTTTTCCAAAGTAGTTTTACTAATTTATATTTCTACCTTATTGTATAAGAGTTCTTCTTTTGCATATCTTCATCAACATTTGGTGTCTTCTGGTTTTGTTTCTGTTTTTTTATAATTTTATCCTTCTTGTTGATGTGTAGTGTTATATCATTGATGTTGACGAGTTCTTTTTGAAATATTTTTTGGTTATTTGGATATTCTACTTGAGAAATGGCCTACTGAAGTCTTTTGCCAGGTTTTCTTTTGTAATTAAATTGTCTCTTCTTCTATTGAAATGTAGCGCTTTATTACGGATATAAGTTGTGTGTGTGTGCATGCGTCCGTGCACTCTCATACTCTTTGGGCGGTCATTTTACTCTCTTAATGGCATCTTTTCATAAACAGAAACTCTTAATGCACAATTATAATTTTATCCATCTTTACATTTTAGTTAGTGCTATTCACGGTTTACTTAAACAATTTTAGTCTGCTCCAAGGTCATAAACATTCTATTCTCTACTTTTTACTATACAGTTGCATTGTTTTGTTTTTATCATCTACAATCTAATGGAGTTAATTTTTGTTTCATGTTGTGATGTAATGATTTATTTTTTAAATATGAGTATTGAATTGAGCAGTACCATTTATTTTGAAGACCATCGTTTTCCCCACTGGATGGCGATAGTGTCTATATTGCAGATCTGGTAATCTATCAGGTCTCCTTCTGGCCTCTATTCTGTTACAGTGATCCATTTGTCTATTCTTATGTTAATAGCACAGTGAACTGCTTACTTTAGATTTATAGTGAGTCTGGATATCTGGTAACGTGAGTTCACTGGCTTTGCTTTTAAAGATTATTTTGGCTATTCTAGGTACTCTTCATTTCCAGATGAATTTTAGAAGCAGCTTTTAATTTTACAGAGGAATATTTGCTGAGTTTTCAATGGTATTAAATTGAATCTTCACATTATTTAAGTCAATCTTACAATTTTGAAATTTCCAATTTGGAAACATCGTATATCCCTTTATTAATGGAATCTTTTGAAATTTTTTCAGTAATAATACATAATGTTCTGTGACAACATTTTGTAAATTTTGATTGTATTTGGCCCTTGGTATTTCCTATTCTGTTTTAAATGCTAGCATTTATATTTTACTTATTTATATTTTATATGGACATAAATAAATAAAACGTATGTATTTTTATTTATTTATATATCATTCATTACTTTTATACAGGAATACATGATATAGATGTAGCATTATATAAGAATTAATTATTATATAAAGCTCGCATTAAATAGCTTCTAAGCCATAACAATTGTATAGATCTTTTTGGATTTTCTGTATACTCATCCATGTCTATGTAAATGATATATCTGTTTCTTCTTTTCTAATTCTTATACCTTTTATTTTTATTCTTTTTGGTTTATTACTAATTTCTTCATTCATTTATTAAATGTTTGCCTAATTGCACTGTCTACGACTTTCAGTAAAATGGTGAAAAGGCATAGCATACATCTTTGACCAGTAGGCAAATTCAGGGCAGGATAATACTTATGTTACTATTTCATATGAAAATTGCTGTTGAATTTTAAAATATGCTGTATAAATAAAATATATTAATTTCATCTCTAGTTTGTTATAGTTTCTTTTGGTATAAATGCTTGTTGAATTATATCATTTTTTCAGTATCTATTTACATAATCGTATAATTTTTATCTTATCTTTATTTTTATTTTTATGTTTTAATGTAAAAAGTTACAGTGCTTGGTTTCAAATCTTATGTTATGTGTGTATTCCTCAATTAAATCTCATTTGGTCATGATATACTATAAATTTTATATGTCTTTGGGTTCAGTTTGCTAGTATCTTGTACAAATATTTCAGATTAGTTCATCTATGTTCATAAGAAATATTGACATGTGGTATCTGTGTTAGTCATGTATTTGCTTTGATAATAAACATACATTGATCACATATATTGTGATGGGAAGTGTTACCTGAATATTTATTCTCTGAAAGAGGTTGTATAAGTTTGTTGCTATTTTTTCAAATGTTTGGATAAACCAGTAAAATCATTTAGACTAGAAGTTTTTTTGTTTTAGAAATATTTATTTACATATTTAACTTTTATAGAATTATTGTTTAAAAATGTCTACTAGATAACATAATTTATAAAATTTAATAGTTCTATATCTTTTCAGTTTTGGTAAACTGTTTTTCAAGAAATTTATCAATTCATCTAATTTATCTTAAATCTGTCAAATTTATTACAAATTTGATTGTAATATCCTCTTTTCAATATCTGTGGAATTTTTAATGATGCCCTTTATTTTACTCCTGAAACTGGGTTTACTAGTGTTCTCTATTGTAAAGTATTCCCCATTCCATTTATTTCCGTAGTTTCTTTGTTTCTGTTTTGTTGTTGTTGTTGTTTGTTTGTTTGTTTTAGCTTTTGATATGGAAGACTAAATCATGGATATTAAGCTTGTATTATTTTAAAATGTATATATTTAGGCTATATATTTTCCTTTGAGCTCTTTTATTGCATTACACACCTTTTGATATGCCACATTACATTACTCTTCCATTTCAACATGTTTTCTAATTTTCATTTTAAATTCTCCTTTCACCCAGGAGTTGTCTCACACGCTATTTGTTCCTTTCTTATCTTCTTCCTTACTTTCAGTTAGATTAATCAATTCTTCAAGGAATTCATGTCCCCTTTATTAGCTTTGTAGTTACAGTTATTTACATTTTTTTCTCTTTTTTGAGATAGGGTCTCACTTCTTGCCCAGGCTGAAGTGCAGTGGCACAATCTCAGCTCACTGCAGCCTCTGCCTCCCGGATTCAAGGAATTCTCCTGCCTCAGCCTCCCAAGTAGCTGGGATTACAGGTATGTGCCACCACGTCTGGGTAATTTTTGTATTTTTAGTAGAAACGGGGTTTCACCATGTTGGCCAGGCTGGTCTTGAACTCCTGACCTCAAGTGTCCGCCCACCTCTGCCTCCCAAAGTGCTGGGATTACAGGTGTGAGCCACCACATCCCACCTACAACTTTTATACTAGTTTCACTATACGTACCTTGACTTATTAGAGCCTAATATAAATTAATGCATTTATCATTTTTAATATAATGCTAGGATCTTTTCATCTTTTACCTCCATAGAACCCTTTCTTAGCTTTTGTATTATTAAATTCAATTAAATTCTAAACTTCAATAAAATTACTATTTGTATAATCAATGTTTGAATAGATTCTGCTACATATTTACTTTTTCTTTTCCCTTCACTCCTTCCTGCTGCATTTTCATATGTGCTCAACTTCCCATTGAAGTACTCACCTTAGTACTTCTTTCAGTGTTTGTTTCCTGACAACAAATTATATGTTTCTGTATGTTGGAAATTTAATTTGTTTTTCCTTAATGTTTGAAAGATATCGTCTCTGAGCATACAAATTTGCCAGTTATTTCCCTTCTGCACATAAAATGTGGTATCCAGTTGTATTGTGGCTTTTGTCTTTTCAATTTAGAAGTCAGATGAAAGTATTATGGTTACTCTATAGATCTCTCTTATCCTCTACCCTTGACTACTTTTAAGATTTGCTTCTTGTCTTTGGTGCTCAGCAGTTTGACTGAAGTGTGACAAGGAGTGGTTCTTCTCATGTTTATCCTGTTTAGATTCTCTGAATTTCTTGAACCTGTATGGTGATGTCTTTGATCAGTTTTTGATAATGTCTTGGCCTTTACTTCACTGGGTAAAGCACCTGTGGCTTGTTATTTCTTCCCCATATGGGCCTTCAATGACATACACATCAGACATTTTCACCATGTACTATAGCTGTCTTACACATTGTAGACTTTTTTGTTGCTGACTTTTTTGTGGTAGTTTTCCTTTTTTTACTCTTTGTGAGTTTCAGTTGTATATATTCTACAGCTTTTCCTTTAGATCACTTATTCTGTCTTCATTTGGGTCCAATATGCTGTTTAATTATTTTTTGTTTTAGTTGTTAATTTCAATTATTACTTGTTGTAGTTCTCAAATTTGTTTCAGTCCTTATTTTTCAAAGATTCCAGTTCTTTGGTAGAATGCTTCATCTTATATTTTTCTTCTCTTCAATATATTAATTAATCTTATTTTAAAGTTCATGTAACACATTTATTATCTAGATCACATAAGGGTCTGCTTTTTGTTCCCATTATCTTGATCTTATTTTAATTTAGCCTTCTAAGTTTTGATGGAATGCCAGATGTTATGTTTTAAATGCCGTAGAGGCTTTGAAGGTTGTTGTCTTCCTTCCAGAAGATTCGATTATCCTCTAACTATCCCTTTGGCAAGTAGGGGCAAATCAATACAGTCTAATGAGGGATTGGGCTGACTTAAGGTGGAATTTTGGACTGAAAAATATGCATGTCCCTTAGCCACTAGTTTACTCCCATTCTCAATGTATTTACCTGTGTTCTTCTGCACTGACAGATCTCAAACTCCAATGATGGTCTTCCTAATACACTGAGAGAACCAAAACTCCACTAAAATTTCAGCTGTTGTTGGTTTGGTTCCTTATCCTCTTGTCCAATGTATTTAAGGAATAAACAAATGTCTTTTTATGAAACTTGGGTCAGCGTGAATAACAAAAATGCAAATTCACCTCTGTGAGCTTACCTTCTCTTAGAGCTTTACCCTTCAAATCTTAGATGTCTCCAATGTCTTCAAACAGTTGTCTTTCTTTTTTCAATCTGGTCTTTCTATTTTTTCCTGGTTAAAGTGTTGATTTGCCATCAGATACTCTGGCTTAGCCAAACAACAAAAAAAAGCCTATGGTACAGCTTTAATTGCAAATTTTGTGCAATTATTGCATTTTATTTCTTAAAATAAATGATATATCTATTGCATATGCAACGAAGACTGTTGCATTGCCTCTGTGTATTTGCAATTTTCATACAAAAGTAGATTTCACCCAAATGTAAGTGTTTTTCTGTATAAGAGCCTATGATCTGTGATTTGTTTTTAAAGGCCTAAAAAAGGGCTGAACTGGGGACTTTGGAATGCAATTGCTAACTTAGTTAAGCTCTAAAGCACTGCCACTCTGTGGTAACTCTGAGGCATAGCAGCCCCCTCTATATTTCTATTGACAAGATGCCCCAGAAAGTTAGTTCAAAATTCCCTTCCACTGTTATTTAGAAAGCTGAAATATTTCTGTTCAGTGAAAGAGTCCAGCTACTCTATACTTCATCGCTTGCACCTCTCTTTCTATCCAGTTTTCCAAATCTGAAGTCTAGCCTTAGGTTCTCTTCCTTGAGATAACCCGAGTCAATAGGAAAGTGTTAAGTCTCTGGCACTTATTTGTGATGTGGTCTTAGGCTCATTACTTATTCTCTCTTTCATCGCCAAAAAAAAAAAAAAAAAAAAACAACCCAGCAATGTTAGCAGGCATATTCACTTTGTGAAAATTCACTGAGCTAGACATTTGTGTGTATGTGTCTGTGATATTTCAATAGAATTAATTTTAAAAGAGGTTAATAATACATATTTAAGTGCATCCTCAAAAGATTATTCTGAGCATTTAAATGTATAATGTCACCTCCACAGCGAGGCCTACACTGACCTTCTTTTTCAAAATTCTAATCTTTCCTCTTCAGCCCCATCCACACAAATCTAGAGATGCCAGCATTTTTACTTAGTTCTGATTTCTTTTTTTTCCTACAGCACTTAACATCTTTCAAAATGTTATATAATTGACACGTTGTGTATTTCTCTCTTCCCTTGCCTCATAAAGGCAGGGATCTTTGCTTGGCTCCTTGGTTTACAAAAAGTGCCTAGAACAGTGCTTGGCACATAGCAGTTGAGTGCCATTCAACAAAAGAATTTGTTGAATGCATGAACTGGAACTTAGCATAGTTATTGGTGCATAATGATAGCTTACATTTAGAAAATATGATCATCTCATTATCATCACGGTTTCCACTAAAGGCTTTTGTTCTCAGATCTTAAATATGGCCTGCGGACAAGAAAGGTGCTGATGAGTAGATGGTATAGTATCAGATATTGCTAAGAAAGAACACTTAATACAACTGAATGGTACAATTTAAAAGCATTAATTTGATGGTATGTAAATCATAACTCAATGAAGGTGTTATTTTAAAAAACAAAAGTACATGATTAGCTCTTCAGGAGGAGAAAAATGTTTAACTCCTGGTTCCGACACTAACTTATTTTTTGATCTTATATTGGTATTTCCCTCTTGTCCTTAGTCTTCTCATATACAAATTGAATGTGTTGGTTAGCTAAATACTAAAACCCATTCCAGCTCTAATATCCTGCCTTTTTAAAAATCAGCTTCTGCAAAGATGGAGAGAAAAGAAAGTCAATGAATATTGCGCCGTCAAATTGCTCTTCAATCTGGAGCACACACTCTTCAAAGCGTTGGGCTGAGAGGATGAGCTCCTTTTTGCATATACACATTTACATACAGACGTGTAAACACACAAATCCATACATGCATACAAATATCTAACTATCTAATTTTGTTGGAAAGGAAATAAGACAATGAATATTGATTTCTTGGTTTCCACATAATCTTTTCCAAAACAGCTTTTCCAGTTCAAAAAAGTAGATCATGGATTACAAAGGCACTGATTCCCCTGCCTGCATACCAGAGTGTACCTTAGGGGCCATCTGGAATCTCAATGCTTAACAAAATTAGCTTGGTTTAATATGAGCAAGTTAGAAAACTCTGCTGTCAACAATGAGAGAATGTTCCTATTACCTAATTAACAGGGCTTATTAGGAGAGCAGTGACTACTGAAGTCCACTGAATACCCGGCCATATGGGCATATGAAGCATAGATCGAACAGGTCTCTTTGTAATTATGTTAATAGTTACTCTATTTGCTTTCCCTCATTTTTATCTAAGGTCACTGCAAAACACATTCCCTGGATTTTGAATGAGTGTCAAATAATAGGCACTGTAAATGGATTTGAGGTATTAAGGCCACCATTTACTGGACACATGTTTGCTGCCCAGTGGCTAACCCCTTTCGCTGCTTCCTAAAATGCCTTTCTGTATGCCTCGTCTGAGACACCACAGGTCGTCTGCTTGATTGGTGGGGCCTTTTCTCTGCCATATGGCTGTGCTGCACCCAACTACCCATGGCAATGTGTTCCTTTGATATACCTTTAATGCAAAACCCTTTGCTAAATAGGAAAGTACAACATGTGTAATTTCCTCATTAAATCAATAGACAATGTCACTGTGTGTTAAATGGAATAAAAAGCCCATTCCCACATATTACACACTGGCATGAAAATACAATGCATTGACATTTCAAGGAAGTATTTAATAAGCACAATCACATATTTGCCTCTTGCTAAATGGTGGGCAAAATGATATGCATACACTCAAAAGCACAGGTGAGAGTCAGTACTCTTCTTTCTCTCATTTCAAAGGAGAAAATTGAGTCTTAGAGAAGAGAAATGATCTCAAGTCAGACTCACTACAGTGTCTTTTGAAGCCTATGAGCACCCTGCAATCCAACAATGTGCCTGGCACACAGTAGAAGCTCAATAATTTTTTTGCAATGAATGCCTGTGTAACAGTTATACATTGGTTAGTCATTTATTCAGAGTGTTGCCTTAACAAATAAGTGTCCAATGAAGACTGAGAAAGGGAAATTCTAAACCTGAGAGGAAGATAAGTTTATGTTGACAAAAAGAGTCAAACTCTGTAAAATATGTAAAGAGGTTTATTCTGAGCCAAATATGAATGACCAAGGCCTGAGGCACATTTTCCAGAGGTCCTGAAACATGTGCCTAAGGTGGATGGGTTGAAACTTGGTTTTATATATTTTGGGGGGACATTTAGAACATCAATCAATACATATGGGGTATACATTGATGAGACAACTCAAAAAGGGGAGTGGGGAATACAGGTAATAGGTGGATTCAAAGATTTTCTGATTGGCAATTGGTTGAAACAGTTAAGTCATTATCTAAAGATCTGAAATAAATAGAAAGTAGCATCTCGATTAAGATAAAGGATTGTGGAGAACAAGGTTCTTATTATGTAAATAAAGTCTCGTGCTCACTTCGGCAGCACATATACTAAAATAGGAACGATACAGAGAAGATTAGCATGGCCCCTGCACAAGGATGACACACAAATTCGTGAAGTGTTCCATATTTTTTTGACCCAGTCATCCCATTACTGGGTATATACCAAAAGGACTATAAATCATGCTGCTATAAAGACACATGCACATGTATGTTTATTGTGGCACTATTCACAATAGCAAAGACTTGGAACTAATCCAAATGTCCAACAATGATAGACTGGATTAAGAAAATGTGGCACATATACACCATGGAATACTATGCAGCCATAAAAAATGATGAGTTCATGTCCTTTGTAGGGACATGGATGAAATTGGAAATCATCATTCTCAGTAAACTATCACAAGGACAAAAAACCAAACACCACATGTTCTCACTCATAGGTGGGAATTGAACAATGAGAACACATGGACACAGGAAGGGGAACATCATACTCTGGGGACTGTTGTGGGGTGGGGGGAGGGGGGAGGGATAGCATTAGGAGATATACCTAATGCTAAATGACGAGTCAATGGGTACAGCACACCAGCATGGCACATGTATACATATGTAACTAACCTGCACATTGTGCACATGTACCCTAAAACTTAAAGTATAAAAATAATATAAAAAAAAAGAAATCCGAAAAAAAAATAATAATAAATAAAGTCTCATGAGCAACTCCCCTTAGAGACAATAGATGGCAAAGTTTTCCTTTTCAGGCCTTAAAAGGTGCTAGACTCTCAGTTCATCTCTTCAAGATTGTGAGGGCCTGGAAGGAGGAAAGATCCAGTTATGTTAGTAGAAGTTCTTTACAGATGCAACTTTTCTTCCACAAAAAATGGCTTTGCAGGGTCATTTTAAAATACAGCAAAGAAACATATTTTGGGGTAAAATATTTTTATTGTCTTTTATACCTGTCTTGTGATGTTACGCCACAGTCAAGTTGGAAAGTAAATTACATTACATAGGGTTAAATATAACCCATCTGATGAGATTTTGTGGTTCCTAGGGCATGACTCTCCAGGCCTCCCAGGTAAGAATTTGGGCAAGAGAGGACAAAGGTCAGAGTTTAGTCCTCACTTATTAACATAATAGAGATTTGTTATTAGAAAACACTTTTTCCTACCGAACAAGTACATGAACAGGCTGTTAGGAAACTGAAAGGAAGTGCAGAAAACACTTGTTTTTCAGTCCCTTGGGGCTATTGCTGCCCACAGATCAGGAGAAGGGGCTGGTTCTTATTTGTATAATTCATATCCCAATTCCTGAAATATCCAAAAATTAGGGAGAAGGAGGAAAGACGTTCAGATTTTACTAGCACTATAAATACATTTTCAAATCTCCAGAAAGTAGGATCCAAAAGGAGATAAAACAAAATTAAAATTGGTCTTCTCAATTTGAAAATTACAGTGTTAAATGCCAAGTTTCTGTGTATGAGTGCATCTTGTTCTGGGGAATCCTCCCTCACCCCTTCCTCCATCCTGATGTCCCATTGGGATCAACAAACATCCTGAATCTACCTTAATACTGAAGATGCTTAAGTTTGAGCAGCAGTAATCAGACCCTATTTTTATGGTTAATTTGCTGTTAGCCTCAGTCCTATCTTGACTCAAGCTCTCTATGTAACTAATATGTAAGCTATCTATGTAACTATTTTTTCATTTGTTGTTGGCACCTATTCTAATTATAAGAGGCATTTAACATAAGAAAATGTTTAGAATCACACTGACAATTTGGGTCATAAAGTTTTTTTCTTTTTTTGTGGAACAGCATCACCTACTATTCTACCTGAAAAGAGAAAATCTGCATTTTTGCAATCGAAATTGCTAGACTGATCTATAAGTACTTTTTCCCATTTTTTAAATTCTACATAAGAAGACACTGATAATGAGAAATGAAGACTGTTGGATATTAAATTAAGAGGAATCCTATGGAGAAAATGTTACTGCTCTTGCAACCTGGGATGTCATATGTGTACTTCACTAATCTATCAGTCACTATCTCCTTTGTAGTGATTAGAGAATTGTATCTCTATTACAACAATTTTATAGTAGATATTCATAAAGGGTCTTGAAGAAGAATCTTTATTTTTACTAATTTGCATAAAGGACAAGTTATTATTACCAGCAGAAGTATTCTAAGCCACAATTTTTCTCCCAAAATGTTATTTCTGGATTCTTCTTCTGAAATCCCATATTATTCCTCTTATGAAATTTTTCAAACTTTACTGTAATTATTTCCTTGAGGATGTATCTCTTTGGGAGCTTCTTGACACCAAAAACTATATGAGATTCATCTCCAAATCCCTAATTTCTAACACTGATGGACACTGATAAATGTTAAATGATTAGGTGAATAACACTGAATTAACTCGCCTTGAAATTTACTTGAAATAATTAGCAGTTGCTGCAGAAAAAGAATGAGTCACAATAAAACAGAAATCAAAATACTAAAGTAAA
Source organism: Homo sapiens (assembly GCF_000001405.40). Classification (NCBI taxonomy): domain Eukaryota; kingdom Metazoa; phylum Chordata; class Mammalia; order Primates; family Hominidae; genus Homo; species Homo sapiens. The sequence continues at coordinate 62,185,172 of NC_000016.10, read as the reverse complement.
GACATAGTAATCAGCTATATCTCAGCAAAACTCCTATCTTTTGACTGGCCAATAATTAATTATATTTTCCACCAAAATTCTGCAAGTTTATTAAAGAATATGATGGGTTTTTTGCACAAATTGGATATGCGCCATACCTTTCATAATTTAGGAAGGAATGACAATGTTATTGCATATATTTTAAATTACTTACATTTATTTTGGAAACAGATACATTAAATGGCTCAAAATCTGAACAGTACAAAAATATATACTGAACAAGTCACTTATGCACATCTGTCTCTTAACATTCAATACTTGTTCAATAGAAATGTTTCCGGACTTCCAGTTCCAAAATGGCAGTGGAGAAACAAGGTGGCTTCACTCCCCCTCTTTCCAAAAACCAAAAATATAAATATACAGTGCCAAGATTATTACCAGCAATCTCTCAGATTTCAAATATGAGGAGAAAACAGTTCCCAGGGCCACAGGGAAATGAAAATAGTTTGAGCAGATGGTTAAAGAAGTGGACTTCCATATTCATGATATTCCTCCCCCCAGTCCTTCTAGTGGCAAGCATGTGGAAAATTTCCCCTGACTGACAGCTTCTACATTAGAAAAAAGTGATATCAAGGTGGATAAGCAGTTTCCCCATCATCCTAAGTTTGCTGGCAGGAGACCTGTCCCTGCCAAACTCATGAGAAGCATCTAGAGTGCCTGGAGGAAAAAATATCGCTGAGGAAACCTAGTGACAAAGGGGAAAGGAGGGACTGCCATCTCCAGCCCTGGAAACTCTGCTGTGTAACTCATCCAAAGGTAATGCCAAATCAGAATGGACATTCAGCAGCACCACACTGTAGAAGATTAATTCTAGAGCTCACCCTAGCCAACCTTCCCATGCTATTGGACATCCCCTTTGGGACATCCCCCATTTAGGAAAGGCAGCACTCTGATCATTTGCCAGAATTGAGGCAAACCTGGGCTTAAGAAAGCATCTAGTGCCAAAAAGGAGGCAGTAACCCAGCAGGGGGGCGGGGAAAGAAAGAAAATCAACAGATAAATTACAAAGAATTTCTTAGAACACATATCCAATAAAAACTAAAACAAGCCAGATAGAGATGATTTGACTAAATAATCCTTTAATGCAAAGAGACATACATACATACACACACAAAAAAACAGCAAACTGGGAACCATAGCCTTGCCAAATCCAAAAGGCAAGAAACAAGTGACTAACTCTAACAAGACAGCAATATATGGTCTCTCTGACCAAGAATTCAAAATAGCACCTTTAAAGAAACTCAGTAATCTCCAGGATAACACAAAAAAAGCAATTCAGAAACTTATTAGAGAAATTTACCAAAGATATTTAGTTTTTTTTTTTGGAAAATCAAACTGAAATCTTGGAACTGAGAAATATGTTTGCTAAGCTGAAAAATTTATTAGAGGCTCTCAACAGCAGAATAGATCAAGCAGAGGAAAAAATGAGTGAGCTCAAAGACAGGCTATTTGAAAATATATTGGCAGAGAAGAAAAAGAAAAAAGTGAAAAGGAATAAAGATCCCCCACAAAATATAGAAAATTACCTCAAAAGACCAAATTTAAGATTTATTGGTGTTTAAAGGAGTTGAGCAAGAGCAAGGGGTAGAAAGCCTATTCAGAGAAATAACAGAAAACTTTCCAAAACATGAGAAGGAGATACATATCCAGGTATGGGAAAGTCAGAGAACACCAAACAGATTTGCCACAAAGAAGACTACCCCAAGGCATATAATAATCAAATTCTCAAAGGTCAAGGACAAAGAGAGGATTCTAAAAGCAGCAAAAGAAAAGAAGCAAATAACGTAAAGACCCCAATTTGTCTGGCAATGGACTTTTCACTAGGAACTGTACAGTGCAGGAGGGAGTGGTACAACATTTTCGAAGTGCTAAAAGAAAAAAAATTGTCATTTAAGGATACTGTCTATAGCAAATCTATCCTTCAACTATAAAGGACAGCTAACGTCTTCCCCAGACAAAAGCTGAGAGAATTCACCAATACCAGACCCATCTTACAAGAAATGCTCAATGGAATTATTCAATCTGAAAGAAAAATAAACACTAATGTGCAAAAAGTAATCATTTGAAAATATAAGACTGATTTGTAAAATTAAGTTCTCTAATAAACTCAGAATACTAAAATACTGTAATTGTGGTGTGCAGTTCACTCATAACTCTAGTATGAAGCCCAAAGGCGAATCTATGAAAATGATATCAAAAACAGCTTGTTAAGAGAAAAATTAACAGGAAACAAGAAAATATTTAAATTGAGACAATATAAAGTCAAAATATTGAGGGGATGGAGTAAAAGTTTAGAGGGTTTCTTTTTTCGTTTTTGTTTGCTTTTTTTATTTTTGTGTTTGTGATCTAACATAATTCATCATCTCTTTAAAATAACTTGTTATATCTATAAGACTTTTTTTTGTAAGCCTTATGGTAACCACCATGCAAAAACCTAGAATAGATTCACTAAAAATAAAAAGCAACAAATAAAACATATTACCAGAGAAAATCACTTAACCACAAAGGAAAACAGTGAGAAAGAAAGGAGAAGATCCTCAAAACAACCAGAAAACAGGCAACAAAATGACAATAGTAAGTCCTTACTTATAAATAACAACGCTGAATATAGAGTGCCTGAATGGATAAAGAAAGAAAATTCAACAACATGTTGCCTACAAGAAACTCACTTCACCTGTAAAGACATAGACTGAAAGAGAAGTGGTGGAAAAAGCTATTCCATGAAACTAGAAACCAAAAAAGATCAGGAATAGCTATACTTATGTCAGATAAAATAGACTACAAATCAAAGACTATAAAAATCAGAGACAAAGAAGGCCACTATATAATAATAAAGGTGTCAATTCACCAAGAAAATATAACAATTATAAATATCTATGCAGGCTGAGTACAGTGGCTCATGCCTGCAATCCCTGCACTTTGGGAGGCCAAGGTGGGTGGATTGTTTGAGCCCAGGAGCTCGAGACCAGTCTGGGCAACATGGTGAAACCCTGTATTTACCAAAAAAAAAAAACAGAAAAAAACAAAAAACAAAAAAAAACACATTAGCCTGACGTGGTGGCACACTCCTGCAGTCCCACCTATGTGGGAGGCTGAGATAGAAGAATTGCCTGAGCCCGGGAGGTTGAAGTTGCAGTGAGCCATCATCATGCCACTGCACTCCATGAGACACAGTGAGACCCTGTCTTCAACAAAACAAAACAAAACAAAAAATCCTACGCACCCAACACTAGAGCTCTCAAGTATATAGAGCAAACACTGATAGTTCTTAAGGGAAATATTTATCAGAATGCCCAATAGGTATATGAAAAAATGCTCAGCATCCCTAATCATCAGATAAATAACTATCAAAGCCGTAATATAGTATCACCTCACCTCATTAAAATGGCTTTTATCAGAAGATGGAATAATGGATGCCGTCAAGGATATGGAAAAAGGGAAATCCCTATACACTATTGGTGGAAATGTAAATTATTACAGCTGCTATGGAGAACAGTATGAAGGCTCTTCAATAAATGAAATATAGAACTAACATATTGAGGAAGGGGAATATATTCGAAAGAAAGTATATCAATATATCAAAGAGATATCTACACCCCCATGTTTGTTGTAGCATTATTCACTGTAGCAAAAATATGGGACCAACCTAACTGTCCATCAAAGGATGAATTAATTTTTTAAATGGGGTATATATACACAGTGGAATATTATTCAGTTATTAAAAAGAATAAAACCCTGTCATTTGCAGCAACATGGATGAAACTGAAGGTCATTATGTTAAGTGAAATATGCCAAGCACAGAAAGACAAATATTTCATATTCTCACTCATATGTAGGAGCTGAAAAACTGGATCTCATGAAGATAGTTTATTTATGGTTACAGAGGCTGGAAAGGGTAAAGGGGAGAAGGGAGATCGATTAATTGATACAAATATATAGCTTGATAGAAGAAATAAGACGTAGTATTTGATAGATCAGTAGTATCTATCAAATAAACTATAGTAAACTATAGTTTACAGTAATCTAGTATATATTTCAAAATAGCTAGAAGAGAATAACATGAATGTTTCTAGAATAAGATAAAGACAAATACTTAAGGAGCAGGATGCTCCAATTACAGTGATTTCATCTTTACATTTTATATGAATATATTGATTTATCATATTTACCCCCAAATATGTACATTTGTTATGTATCAACTTTAAAAATTAAAAGAAAGAAATCAATATTTCCAAAATATTTTGTATATTTGTAGAGACAGCTTGTGCAAGCAAAAGCAAATATCTGCATGCATATATTTATACGGTTGATTCATTTCCTATTGCTGTTGTAGCAAATAACCATGAAGTTAAAGCAGCATATATTTATCTTACAGTTCTGTATGTCAGAAGTCTCACAGGGGCCATAATGGGCTAAAATAAAGGTGCCCACAGGATTGTATTTCTTTCCAGAAGCTCTAGGACAGAATCTATTGCATTGCCTTGTCCAGCTGTTAGAGGTCATCCACATTTTTAGGCTTTTGTGCTCTTCCAGTCTTCAAAGACAGGAATGGTGGGTAGAGTTTTTCTCATGATGCCGTCTCTCTGATCCTCTGAGTACAGTTAGGAAAGGTCCTCCCTTTTGAGTATTTATATGATTATATATTGGGCATATCTGAGTGATCCAGGATAATCGCTGCATCTCAAGTTTCTTAACCTTAATCACATCTGAAAAGCTTCTTTTACTATGTAAGGTGTTCATAGGTTTTAAGGAGGATCAAGGCATGGACATCTTTGGGGGCCATTATTCTGCTTATCAGTGTTTCATGTACACATACACATGCACACACACACTCACAGGTGCACACACACACACTCATATGCACACACGTAGTTTTCTTTTAATGAAACAGCACACTATGTTTAGCACTTCATTTTTTTATTATTTATTTAGTATTGGGTTTTGAATATTTTTCCATTTTACTACATAAATAACATTATCATTCTTTTCCACAGCTGCACAAGTTTTTTTTTTTTTTTTTTTTGAGACGGAGTCTCACTCTGTCACCAGGCTAGAGTGCAGTGGCACAATCTTGGCTCACTGCAACCTCTGCCTCCTGGGTTCAAGTGATTCTCCTGCCTCAGCCTCCAAGTAGCTGGGACTATAGGTGCCCGCCACCATGCCTGGCTAATTTTTGTATATTTTTAGTAGAGATGGGGTTTCACCGTGTTGGCCAGGTTGGTCTCGATCTCTTGACCTCGTGATCCACCCGCCTCGGCCTCCCAAAGTGCTGGGATTACAGGCGTGGGCCACCGCTCCTGGCCCACAGGTGCATAGTTTTATATTAAAAGACTATACCATAATTTATTTAACTCATTAAATCCTTTGTGTATCTGGATGTTCATGTTCATGTTTCTTGAAAGAGGCTTTCCTGGCTAGGCAGTCACATTTATGTAATAAATGTACTGCTTGCTACCATTTCAATTATTATAAATGTCCTCCTGATTAATTCCTAAATGTTTTTATTTGTTATTAATAATTTTTCTTAAACTCGTAATGCCCTGGGATGTAACTCCTTGCAAGATAACACTCATCTTTTCCCATTTCCTTCACATCTTCATTGCTTTTGATTATTGGTTTTCCTCACATGTGAATAATCTTAGGAGATTGGAGGTGGGCACCTACTCATCTTCCTTTTCCTCTCTCATCATCCTGGTTCCATTGGCCTTGTTATATCCTTAAGGTCATTTACATTCTCATTTTCTTCCTGTCTTACAGGCTGTCCTCAAAGTCATAGATTATACAACATCATTTTCTTCCTGATGTGGTAGGTATTGTTCAGTCATATAAATACTTTCAACTCTTTCTAAGGCTGCTAATGTGTACCTACTGAGAATATGATTTATTTTCTATCAGTTAACTTTATATAACTTTCCTGTGTCAAAACATTAAACTGGCATTTAGCACAAAACAAATTCATCCTATCATTGGATAAGAAAGATTGGGCATTATTTGCTAAGATCGATTGACTGATAAAATAGTTTCTTCTGGAATTCTTGGACATTTTCTAAAATATTATTTTTTAAAGCTTCTTGATTTTTGCTGGATTTCAGCTTTATTATTTATGAGATTTATAGTCCCTTTTTTAAAGATTCTTCTTTAAATTATAGTGCATTACAGAACCAGAATTCTTAAAAATTAAACACTAAAATAAAACAGTAGATACAGAAAGTTCAGAAATAGTAGAGAAAAATGTCTGATAGCAAATACAGGCTTTTTTTTTTTTACATGCAAGAGGCTTAAGTATTGTTTGTATTACTGCATTTTTCTTTCTTGTCATTTTTTTGCAGAAGACAATTTAAAAGGAAGATACAGGATTGTTGTTGTTGTTTTTTATAATGCAATAAACATTACACTGACTATCACTAGAAACCATAACAGAAGCAGGAGAGAGGAAAATGAAAAGGGAGAGGAAAAGAGAGAGTGAGAGAGAGATGGGGGGGAGAGAGAGAGAGAGAGAGAAAGTGAAGTTATAGAATAAAAGAAGGTCACTTATGTCAAAAGTCTCTGTTAATATGAATAGGGTAAAGAGGTGTCAAAAAGCTTGTAGACATTTTCACACATGATAATATACTTAAGTACAAATTATATTCAAAATGTCTGAAACTGTATTCAAAATTGTATTTCAAAATGTTTATTTTATACTGAGCAGATTCCACGAATCAAAGAAGATACTCATTTGCTCTGAAAAAGAAAAATATAATTCACCTTAAATATAAACTGCTCTTTCGAACACCGAGGTAAAACTGAAATAAAGAAATTTCTTTAAAGCTCAACAATTGAATAAATAGCTATAGTACCTCTTTACCAGAGATATAAGGATCATTTTCTTTCTTTTAACAGTGTTTGTTTTTAAACTGCAAGAGGTCTGAATACACCCACTCTTCAAATCCAAAACGTATATTTCTATAAACATTGCTTCAGGTTGATTATATTTTGTTACCAACAGAATAAAAGCTTCCATTTCCATGTGCAACGGAATTGTACCACGGGGGATGGCACAATACAATTAGGGAAGCTACTGTCAATTTAAACCAGAAGCTGAGATGTCTGACCCACCAGCTAGCTGAAAGGGGATTTACATAATATGTAGCAAGTCACAGGATCTCTACTTAGACGGTATCCCTTTTCTCAATTCTGTGTCCATGTTACTCGACGCTTTCATAAATCCATCATGGCAGAGTTTGTAAGACGGAGTTTTGGAGTGAAGAGATGACATCTTTCTGTCTTTAAAACAATCAGCTCTGCATCAAATATTCTTCTTGTAGTTTAAGTAGGTACACAACAGCCCATATTAAAGGGGATTGTGGGTTGCATGCACTTGCTGCCTTCAGCATTTGAAAGCCGTTTTCAACTAAAAGTCTGACTACTTAGAATTCAAGCTGTATGCAACTAAGAGACTCCAAAAGAGTTAATGAACCATAAATTATTGCCGTTAGATATTTAATACTCAATCAGTATGTGCTCTCTCAAGCATATCCCACCGGCATTGCATTCATTCTGACAGTGTGGTACCGGTTCAATTACTTTGCTCATTTACAATAAAAGGTTAATGAAAAGGGGTATATTTTAGTTCACAGAGATTAATTGCATCCCTTACTTTCCCTATACTAGAAATATTCAACCCATAATCCTGATAGCTTTTGCATCAACAAGTATATGGAAAATTAATAGACTTTCTCCTGCTAGAAATCTCAGAGGCTTTTTCAGAGATAAATATCCAGGGAAAACAAGATTGAAAGTCGGCTTTGGGCTGGAAATGAATTAATTTACCTGTTTCTTTAAATTTACTCTTATGACATTTTGAATTAACCAGTATAAAGATGTGTGTGCTATACTTTTTTTTTATCTGCACATTTTCTGTTGAGTATTTGCAAAGCAAATTCTCTTTTGAGACCTAATTCTTCCAGATAGACACAGCTATGTCTATGGTTGGTAGATGTTCCAACATTTGAAGAGATGTTGACTGTTAACATTTCACAGCTTTTTCCTCAGAGAAAATAGATGCCAAGTGCACTAGTACATTTATTTTGATTTTTTTTTAGCGTAAAGTTATTTACCACTGGGAAATCTAGGATTAAAATTTCAAAGTGCCTCACTGGTAAATAATTCTTGAGTTTTCACAAACTTTGTGGGTGTGGTACTGTGTTTTCCAGTACCTTGAAGATAACAAGCAAACATCTCTAGCTAGTGTGTAGCTGGAATAAAAAGGAAAGTTAAATTTATTGAGCCTTCCCTGCTTCGTATAAAGCTTTTGTCATACCTCATGTGACACAATCCTTACAGCAATTTGCTTATATGATTGTTTCTGTTCCTCAGAAAAGAAACTGAGGCTCAAAGAAGTACAGTGGCTTGCCCATGATCACTCAATTAGCAAGTGGCTAAACCTGGAGTCAAACCATTGTCTTTCTGTCTCCAAAATTCAGCATATAATGCAGAAACCAGATTAAAAATAAGAAAACCTCTGTGACCAAGAATAAATGCTTCTCTAAGCCTAATTTTTTTGTCTATCAAATGGTGAACATAAAATTCACTTGACACAAATGTTTTGATGATGAAATGAGGCAACCAATACGAATGGAAACCAGGCAAGCAGAACTGCTCTATGTACAGATGGAAATAAAATAAGGATGGATTGGGGTTTAACTGTGCAAACCTGATCTTTCAGTCCTAGTGGAGTCAGTCCCTTTGGCATTGCCAGATGGACTCCGTCTGAGAAGTTTTCCTGAGTCCAGATAGAAGTTTGACTCATCTCTTCTTCTTTGCAATACAGTCTATTAATCTATTTCTCAAGCAGAGCTATTCAGGAAAATTTCAATGGCAGAAGTATGTAGTCTGTTTCTTCAGATTGTTATTCCGTTGCTGAGAGAGATGTATTCCCTTCCACATAAGCTTAAATAGAAAGAGAGAGAAGGAGATAGCCTAATTTCCTTCTCTATCTCTTAGGTACCTTCCGTAAGGTTTATCCCCCAATTTCAGTGATGTCAGCCTCCAGGAAACTGTCAACTGTTTAGTAGACACTCCAGTTTTTTAGTGGTCTCTGGGAGGAACCCGGTGGGTCAGAGACAAATCCACTACTTCTAAAAATATATATCCATCATAAAAATCAAAGATGAGCAGGGCTGAATCAACTTATAACAAAATTTACCCTCCTTGTCACAAAGAAAATACTGCCTTTGTAGCACCAACTAACCCATTTTGTGATGAATTTCACTGAATGTATTATATTTTGGCACTGATTATATTGTGTCAAAAGGAATAGAGCTCATCATTGTATTTTGATAAAGTGGCATATTTTGCAGAATTTTTAAACTGGATTTGTTTTGTAAATATCTGATGAGTTTATTGCATTTCATTTTAAGAAAGTAATCTACAAACAGTGGCCACAGAACAGGTGTCTTTATGTTTGTTTTCATACTTGTAGGAAATTTAGACGAGGAAGAACTGGTTGTTTCCCAGTGATTTCTTTGCTTGCTTTATAAATGATTATTATACTTCTATTCCTCATGGAAGCCATCACTATTTGGAATTTCTTACGTGTTTTGCGCCTGTATTAATGCAGATCCTGTGTACTGTCTTTCCATACTTTCTATTTAACAACTATTATGTATAATAAGCAGCCTGTGTAATGCTGTGGGCAAGTCTTTTAACCCTCTTAGTCCTTAATTTCTTCATTTATAAAACAATGGAATTAGAATGGAGTATGAACCAGCAAACACTATCTATCTATTAGGCTACATCGTTAAAGGCCTGGAGTTTGGTACTTTATAAAATAGAGAGTGTGCCTTCAATAAGCTTACTATATAGAGTGGAAGACAGAGGTGAGCAAAGAAGAAAGCATGAGAGAGTGATCAGAGTGATCAGCACAACACTGGAGAGAGGCAGAAGATCCCAACAAAATGAAATGCACAATGTGACCAACATTCAGAGTGGGGTGATGTAAAAAGTCAGAAAATGTATCATGAAGAAAGATAATACATGACCGGCATCTTGAAAAGTGAGTAGCAGTTTGTGGGCAGATGTCAGGAGATAGATAATGTAGGAACCAAAAAAAAAAGCAAAAAAAAAAAATGCCTATCAAAAAAATTGTGCAGACAGCATAATACTCTTAGGGACTGGCATATAGGCAGGAGGATAGATAGGAAAAGATAGAGATTCCAGCACGGGCCAAGTCTTATATTGCCCTATAGGCCTCCTGAGATCCCCAAGCTTTATCTCAAAAGTAATAGGAAACTACTGACAACAATTACCAGGCTTAGATAATATTATAATTTAGTCATCAAGTGGCAATATAAAAAAACCCTGTGCTCTCATACTTATAAACTACTTAATAAAAGTGTAAGAAGAAAAAGTATGGTAAACACTCTTCAAATTTAGGGGTGCATTATTCAGAGTTCTCCAGAAAAACAGAACCAATAGGGCCATATAAGGAAAGATTTGTTATGAAGACTTGGGTCATGCAATTATGGAAGCTGAGAAATCCCATGGTCTGCCATCTACAAACTGGAGACCGAGGAAAGTTGGTCCTGTAATCTCAGCTCAAGGCCAAGGCATCAGAACCAGGGTAGCTGATCTTTTAAACCCCATTACAAGAGCGGTAGAAGACTGATATCCTAGCTCGAGCAGTCAGGCAGGATGCTAAAAAAGAGTGAACTCTTCCTTCCTTTGCCTTTTCATCCTATTCAGGCCTCAATGGGTTGGATGATGTCCAACCACATTGGGAAGGAAATCCAAGTCCACCAATTGCAATGCTAATCTCCTCTGGAAATGCCCTTTCAGACACGCTCAGAAATAATGTTTAATCTGGACACTGGGTGGCACAGGCAAGTTGACACATAAAATTAAAGAATGCAACTCCAAAGTTCTCCAATTTCATCCTGATGTATAGTGACTAGAAACCTTTTGAAATCTGCATTAGATAACTTTGCAACCTAATGCAGATTAGGTAAAATTGTAACACTGTAACAAGTTCCTTCCTTGATGCTTAATGAGGACATTAAAATTATTCATATTTGGTTTGAGTTTTTTAAAAAAATCCTTGTTATAATAGACAAATAATATTTATGTAAATTGTAGTTTCTCATTATAATCACTAAACACTAAATCTGGCTTAATATAAATTAACTAGACTTTGCCAGGTCATCTCATACTTCCAAACCCTTGGGGTGAGTAATCTGCTTTGCTTTCTGAAGAACATAAATTACCTTCTTCCGTTGTCAAAAATGTAGTTGTCTTGGGGCTCTGATTGGCTCCATGTCCAGCAAAAAGTTGAAACTAGGAATATCTCAGGTTCCATGTGTCATCTTGGTGCCTTGAATTTGCTGTCCTAATCATTCTCTTGGCATTTCAATATGCTTTTGGCACCTCAAAATCATTCCTTTCTAAGTCAGGCATGGTGGTACATGACTGTAATCCCAGTTACTCAAGAGGCTGAGATGGGAGGATTGCTTGAGCCCAAAAATTCAATATCAGCTTGAGCAACATAGAAAGACCCCCACCTCAAAAAATAAACAAACACTGATACCATTCTGATATTCAACACTAAAAATCATACCATTCTGATAGTCAACATATCTTTCCTTTTAATGACATTCTTGCCTTATATCTCTGATCGTCACGGGCCTAGCCATAATTTTGATTTACTTAATGTGACATCTAATAGAAACTCCTAAATAACAGGCCCACACATCGTAGACATAGCCTTCTTTTCCTTTTAATTTCCAAACAGAAGAGTTTAAAATGAATGTTCTCCAGCCTTAGTTAAGGCCATCCAGTAGGATTTACAAAGTTACTTTTAGTTAAATGGAAACACAACCCTCCCCATTTGTTGGAAATCCACTGAGCAAATTAATTTCTAAATTTATACAATTCCTGTGATAAACTGAATGGGGTACCACAGTGAACTGACATCAATACTGACATCAAGAAATGCCAGTTTTGTTAGGGGAAAGTTGTAGGGTTATGGAAAAAAATCTTGGGAGATCAATCCCATTTTTTTTTATTTCTGCTTACTGTGACCTTAGAATATTCACATAATCCTTTAATTTCAATATCATTGAGTTTATTTTACAGACCAGAAAATGAAGATTTTGAAGGAAGATTTTAAACTAACAATAGTCAAAATAATATTTACGAAGCACCTAGTACCATATGGTGACACATATTACGAGCTTGATAAATGGAAGTTATTATCATTATGTCTTCAGTCACCACTTAATGACTAATAAACATTATTTCTTCTATAAAAGGAAGAAAGATATTCTTACATAATTACACCCTCAAATTGGAAAATAAAAAGCAGGTATTAAATTGAGGATTAGAATCAGAGCAATACTCTTTTTTAAAAAAATTAATGGTCCTCTGGTTCTAAAATGAAAAGAACAGTCTATATAGACTTCAATTTGCTGAGCTCTTTAAAATACTCTCCTGAATCTTTCTATAAATGTTGGGGGGAGGAAAACTCAAAAGTTTGATGACTTGAAAAGATTAATGCCTGTCCACCACAGTGCTACTCCTGTGACAAGTTCAAATGTCCCACTCACTGCTTATTAAACTTGGTTCTGACATTTGTCCTCTAATCCTCCTCCAATTGTTCATACATAGTGCAATGGTGGATTCAAGTCTGAGTTATGGTTAATAACAATATTTTAATGTCACCCGGTATTTTAATATGCTATGGTCTCTAGAAGAAAATGAACCTTCATTATAATATAAATGCCTTTTATATACAGACTCAACCGGATTCTTGACTACTATTTCAATACATTTATTTCAAGCATAATCAAATTCTGAGAAAATTGGTTAGTAAAGTGAGCATTGGCTGAATTATCCATCCTGTTGAATTTTAATTCATTGTTCTAAGTAAATATGAAATTGGCAATATGACTAGAGTGCAAAGTCAACCACCAAAATGAACATGTATAAGTTGGAATTATTTCTATCACAGTGTCTCCCTAAGAAGGTTGGACACAGCAGTTACAGGAGGATTTGAGTTTTAGAAGCTTAGGAGCCCGTAGAGCTAGGACTGTTGTGTAAAATGGGTATATATTTTCATGTCAGGAGATGGACTGGCTTATTCATTTTTATCAGATAAGGGAATCAATAAATATTGAGAAATAAGAGTTATTCTATTATTAGTATCAGTATGACAATAAATTATTATGCTTAACTATTAATATTCTTGCACATACAATTATACCATTACAAAAGTCCATGACGTGAGCTGATCAAACATGCTTATCTCCATTTCATAGAATTAGAAATGGAGGCACAACATAATGATAGCTCATCTAACTTCTCAAAAGAGATTATTCCACTGGGGAAAAGCATGTCCCCAGCATGTCCCCACAACATGATCCTACAAATACTAGCATTCTTGTAGGAAACACTTACATCAAATCATTCTGATTTCACTGAGACACTACTTGTAAATAATCACACTTGACTTAGAGTTATCACCATAAATAAAGTCATGGTGTTAGGATTTTAACTTAAATTGTGTCATACTCCATCCCAGAAAATTAAAGTCAGGGGGATGGAAGTGAAGTGGTAATATTCCTAGGAAAAAGAAAAGTATATAGTAAATTGTTCCCATAACAGCATTGAGAATCATATACATTAGAAAACAAGCTCCTTGCCCCATGTGAGGACACAGCAAGAAAGTGCCATGTATGAAGCAGAGAGCAAGTCCTCGCCATACAATAACACTGCTGTCACCTTGATGACCCTGAACTTCCCAGCCTCCAGAACTATTCACATGGGATTTGGCATGAAATAGGAAAAAGAAAAATTTATCTAGAATGTGCACTCAAGATTGAAAGCGTATGGCTGACTAGAAAAGTCAGATGCCAAGTCTCCGAAAGAAGATCAAAGTTATAGGTGAATGGTCATGATGTGAAAGAAAAGCTGAGTGAAGACAGCCCGGACAAGTTGGAGAGCCCACAAAAAGAAATTGGGGCACACGGGAAACAGCAAGAGTATAGAAGAGATTGACCCCAAAGGAACTTGGAGCCCTGAGGAAAGGGTAGGTGGGGAGGATTTTCTGCTCCTGTTACCCCTGTGACAATCTGGTGACCACCAAATTGTCAGGGGGCCCCTCTGCCCTTGTGACCCCAAGAAATGCTGTCAATGGTGATTTGCAAACTTCCCAGGGACAGAGCACTAGCTGGACAGCCCATGTAGGTGCAACAACACTTCCCACAGGCCCGAGCTGAGACAGCACGTACCACAGTGGTTGTGCACCTGGTGGGGGCCACTGCCCTACCTGGGGAACCTCAGCCCTTGTGTCAGTACATCACTAGATCCCCTGCAAACACACCCCACAGCCCACTCTGACTTTGGAAACCCAACAGTGAACCAGTGGGTTCCAGGGGAGCTGTGGGATCCCCAGAGATTTAACCCATGGTGTAGATCTAATCCCTTGGTGATGAAGGAGTACAGCACACCAAAGCCCCTCTTGGAACAAAGGAAACATGGGCATAGCACTAATTGCTGAAGGTTGTTGCACCACTGGACAGAAACAAAGTGAAGAGGGGAGTAATCCCCCTACTCCCCCTGTCAACTTTTGTGAATGGTGCAGAGACTCTCCAGGTTGAAGAGTCCACCTGGAGAGAGCCTTCCCAGCACTTTTTGCAAAGGCAGCACCCCCGTTGAAAGTGAGCCTGTGCTACTAGGACATACACAAAGGACAAGGCCCATCTCCCACTCCCTGCACCAAACAGCAGCGTCCTGGCAATGGAGAGCATACAGGATGCACACCTGTCTGTGCTGGGCTGGGAAACCCCAGCCCAATTTGGTTATAGCTGCTAGAGAGGGACTTCAGTCCCCAGTCACAATGTGGCAGAAGCCAAAGGACGATGTCTATATGAGGTGAAAGATGTTAGCCCTATGACAGAGGCATGGTAGGAGAGTGGATCACATTCTGGACTGCTCAGGATGAGGAGCTGGTGCAACCCTCCCACCTTGCCCTTACCCCTGAGACCTAAGCGGACCCTAACACATCTTCCCCACCACTTCCCATCAGGGCAGGTGCCTCCACTCATTATTGGGCTACACCAGGTAGAGCTGGCTCTTAGTCTCAAGCACCACCCACTGGTATGAACACTGTACCACACCACCAAATTTAAAAAACAAACCAGTGATAGTGTACAAGATACACTCTTGAGATCTCCCACTCTCAGTCTCTCAGGGCTAAGCGTGTTGGCTCATTTATCCAATACATTGCTATAACAAGCAGCATTTGAGAAAGCCACTGCCTAAAAGCTATCCACAACTGAGAAACCCATACAGAGCCCATTGAAAGCACCCAGAAAAGAAACCAAATGATCATACACAACATACACCACAGTCATAACCTCAAGGGACAAATAATAAAAAATGTAAAAATCTCATCTAAACAATAGAATATTCAAAAATAAGAAGCAACAGCTCCTTCAGATGATAAGGAATGAGTACAAGAACTCTGGCAGTACAAAAATAAGGTGTTTTGGGGTTTGTTTTTGTTTAAGTTCCAGGGTATATGTGTAGATGTGCAGGTTTGTTACATAGGTAAACGTGTGCCATGGTGGTTTGCTGCACCTTTCAATCAATCACCTAGGTATTATGCCCAGCATGCATTGGCTATTTTTCCTGATGTCCTCCCTGCCACACACCCTCCCTGGACAGGCCCCAGTGTGTGTTGTTCCTCTCCCTGTGTCCATGTGTTCTCATTGTTCACCTCCTACTTACAAGTGAGAACATGTGGTGTTTGGTTTTCTGTTCTAGCGTTAGTTTGCTGAGAATAATGGCTTTCAGCTTCATCCATGTCCATCCATAAGACATGATCTCATTCCTTTTTATGGACACATAGTATTCCATAGTGTATACATACAACATTTTCTTTATCCAATCTATTATTGATAGGCATTTGGATTGATTCCATGTCTTTGCTATTATGAATAGTGGAGCAATGAACATACACGTGCAAATATCTTTATAATAGAATGATTTATATTCCTTTGGTTATATATCAAGTAATGGGATTGCTGGGTCAAATGGTATTTCTGGTTCTAAATCTTTGAGGAATCACCACAATCTTCCACAATGGTTGAACTAATTTACATTCCTGCTAACAGTGTAAAAGCATTCCTATTTCTCTGCAACCTCTCCAGCCTCTGTTGTTTCTTGACTTTTTAGTAATCATCATTCTGACTGACATGAGATGGTATCTCATTGCGGTTTTGATTTGTGTTTCTTTAATGATCAGTGATGTTGAGCTTTTTTTCATGTTTGTTGGCTGCATGTATGTCTTCTTTTGAGAAATGTCTGTTCATGTCCTTTGCCCACTTTTTAATAAGGTTTTGTGTTTTTTCTTGTAAATTTGCTTAAGTTTCTTGTAGATTCTGGATATCTGACAAAGGTCAGACTAATAGATGACAAAATTTTTCTCCCATTCTGTAGGTTGTCTGTTCGCTCTTATGATAGTTTCAAAACAACAGTGTTTTGACACCTCCAAAGGATTGTTGTAGGTCTCAAGCAATGGACCCTAACCAAAATTAAAATTCCCAAATGACAAATAAAGAATTAAAAGTATGGATTGCAAGGAAGCTCAATCCAAGAGAAAGTTGAAAATGAACACAAAGAAACAGAAACATGATTTGAACGTAAAATAGAAGATAGCTATATTTAAAAAACAAATACAATTTTTGGAGTTACAAAATTCACTAAAGGAATTTCAAAACACAGTTGAAAGCTTCAACAATAGGCTAGATGAAGCAGAAGAAAAAACTTACAGCCTGAAGACCAGTCATTTAAATTAACTCAATCAGACAAAAATAAAGAGAAAATAATTTAAAACATGAAAACACCTTCAAGAAATCTGAAATTATGTAAAGTGACCAAACTTACAACTTATAGGCATTCCTGAGAGAGAAAAAGAAAAAGTAAGCAATTTGGAAAACACTTGAGTGAATAATTCAGGAAATTTTCTCTAATCTTGCTAGAGAGATGGACATATAGATACAAGAAGTTCAGAGGAAACCTGTGAGATACTACACAAGATGAACATCACCAAGGCATAGAGTCATCAGATTATTCGAGATCAATGCTAAAGAAAAATCTTAAAGGCAACTAGAGAAAAGGGTCAAGTCACCTACAAAGGGAATCCCATCAGACTAACAGCAGACTTCTCAGCAGAAACCTTACAAGCTAGAAGAGATGGGGGGCTTATCTTTAGCCTTCTTAAAGAAAAAATTGCCAGCCAAGAATATTATATCCTGCCAAACAAAGCTTCATAAACAAAGGAGAAATAAAGTTTTTCTGAGACATGCAAGTGCAAAGGGAATTAGTCACCAATAAACTGGTCCTACAAGAAATGCTGAAAGGAGTTTTAACCGCAAAAATGAAAGAACAGTAGTACTTGCTGCCCTAAGAGCATATGCAAATATAAAGTTCCCAGATCCTATAAAACAACTACATAATTGAAAGTACAAAGCAAGTAGCTAAAAACACTAAGAAGGAACAAAACCTCATATATCATTATTAACCTTGAATGTAAATGGCCTAAATACTTCACTGAAATAATATAGGCTGACAAACTGGAATAAAAGCAAGACCCAACCATCTTCACCCTTCAAGACACCCACCTGATGTGTAATGACACCCACAGGCCCAAAATAAAGGGATAGAAAATAATATTTCATGCAAATGAAAAACATAAAATAGCAGGGTTGGTATTCTTGTGTCAGACGCCACAGACTTTAAACCCAGAACAAAAATCCCCCCAAAAAAGGAGAAGAAGACAAAGAAGGGCATTATATAATGATAAAGGGTTCAATTCAACAAGAAGATTTAGTTATCCTAAATACATACGCACTCAATAGTGGAATATTCAGGTTTCTAAAACAAATACTACTACATTTAAGAAAACAGACAGACAACCATAAAATAATGATGGTGAACTTTGATACCCTACTGACAGCATTAAACAGATCATTGCAGGAAACTAACAATGACAACAAAAACAACAACAAAACTCTAGAAGTAAGCTGGTCTCTTGACCAAATGGACTTAACAGACATCTATAGAAAATTCCACCCAACAATTGCAGAATATACATTTTCTCATCTGCACATGGAACATTCTGCAAAATTGAACACATGGTTGACTATAAAGCAAGTCTCAATAAATTCAAAAAACAATAAAAATCATATCAAGTATCCTCTCAGACCACAATGGAATAATATTAGAAATCAATATCAAGAGGAATTCTCAAAGTCACACAAGCACATGGAAATTAACCTCCTCCTGAATGACTTTGGGTAAACAACAAAATTAAGGCAAAAATCAAGAACATTTTTTGAAATAAACAAAAATAGAAACACAACATATGAAAAATAGCATTGAGAGGAAAGTTTATAGTGCTAAATACTTACATCAAAAAGATAGAAAGATCACAAATTAACAATGTAATATCACACCTCAAGAAACTAGAAAACAAGGACAAGCCAAACCCAAAGCTAGCAGAATAAACTAAATAACAAAGAACAGAGAAGTAAATGAAATTGATACCAAAAATCATAAAAAGGTCAACAAAACAAAAGTTTGTTCTTTGAAAGGATAAACAAGATTGATAGACCACTAACTAGATTAACAAAAGATAGAGAGAGAGAGAGAGAGGGAGAGAGAGAGAGAGAGAGAGAGAGAAGATTCAAATAAGCACAATCAGAAATGATAAAGGTGACATAACAACTGATACCACAGAAATACAAAGAATCATTAGAGATTACTATCAATTCCTCTATGCACACGACCTAGAAAACTTAGGGAAAATGTATAAATTCTTGAAAACACAATCTCCCAAGATTGAACAAAAAAGAAATTGAATCCTTAAATTGTTCCATGAAACCAGTAGCATCCTGATATCAAAATCTGGCAAGGACACAACAGACAAAGAAAACTACAGGCCAATACACCTGATGAACATAGATACGAAAACCTCAGCAAAACACTAGCAAACAGAATCCAGCAGCACATCAAAAAAGAGAAATCATCATAATAAAGTAGATTTTATTTCAGGAATGTAATAATATTTCAAAATACGCAAATCAATAAATATGCTTCACCACATAATCAAAAAGTATAAATAAAACCTAAATGAACATCTCAGTGGATGCAGAAAAATAATTTCATAAAATCCAACATCCCTTCATGATATAAACCTTCAAGAAACCAGGCATTGAAGGAACGTACCTCAATTATTTGAGCTGTATACCACAAACCCACAGCCATCATCATATGGAATGGGGAAACATTGAAAGCTTTTTCCCTAAGAATTCAAGACAAGGGTTTCCACTCTCACAACTTCTATTCAACACAGTACTGGAAGCCCTAGCCAGAGCAATTAGTCAAGAGGAAGAAATAAAGTCATCCAAATTGGAAAAGAAGAGTTCAAAATTAT
This sequence comes from Homo sapiens, assembly GCF_000001405.40. Classification (NCBI taxonomy): domain Eukaryota; kingdom Metazoa; phylum Chordata; class Mammalia; order Primates; family Hominidae; genus Homo; species Homo sapiens. Next base: position 62,165,659 of record NC_000016.10, on the reverse strand, counting down.
CTCTGTTCACTGATGACATAATCTTATATGCAAAAAAATCCTAAAGATTTCTTCAAAAGACTCTTGAACCTGACAAACAACTTCAGTAAAGTTTCAGGATACAAAATTAACACACAAAAATCAGTTGCATTCTTACACATCAACAATGCTCAAGCTGAGAACCACATCAAGAACTCAATATAATTTATAATAAACAAAAATTAAAATATCCGGGAATATATTTAACCAGGGAGGTGAAAGATATTTACAAGAAGAACTACAAAGCACTGATGAAGGAAATCTTAGATGACACAAACCAATGGTAAAATATTCTATAGGAAGAACCAACATCGTTAAAATGACTATACTTCCCAAAGCAATCTGAAGATTTAATGCAATTCCTATCAAGTTACCAGTGTTATTTTGGACAGAATTAGGAAAAATAATTCTAAAATTCATATACAACTCAAAAAGAGCCTGAATAGACAGAGCATTATTAAACAAAAAGGACAAAGCTGGAGGCATCACATCACCTGATTTCAAACTATACTACAAGGAAATAGAAACCAAAACAGCATGATGCTGGCACAAAAGTAGACACACAGATCAATTGTTTAAACAGAATATAGACCTCAGAAATAAAGCCACATGCCTACAATCAAATGGTATTCAACAAAGTCAACAAAAATAAACCATGGGAAAAAAAGATATCTTATTCAATAAATGATGCTGGGGAAACTGGCCAGCCATATGCAGAAGAATGAAGTTAGACCCCTGTCTCTGACCATATACAAAAATTAACTCAATATAGATTAAAGACTTACATGTGAGACTTGAAACTATAAAAATCCTAGTAGAAAATCTAAGAAAACCTCTTCTGAACATTGGCCTAGGTAAAGAATTTATGACTAAGACCTCACAAGCAAATGCAACAAAAACAAAAATAGATAAATGAGACTTAAAGAGCTTCTGCACAGCAAAATAAACAATCAACAGAGTAAACAGACAACTTACAGAATGGGAGAAACTGTTTGAAAACAAAGGACTAATATCCAGAATTCATAAAGAACTTAACAACAACAACAAAAATAACCACATTAAAAAGTGGGCAAAGGACACGAACAGACACTTCTTAAAAGAAGACACACATGTGGCCAAGAAAAGAATGAAAAAAACGCTAACTATCACTAATCATGAGAGAAATACAAATTAAAACCACAATGAGATATCATCTCACAGCAGTCAGAAAGGCTATTATTAAAAGACCAAAAAAATAACAGATTCTGGTGAGGCTATGGAGAAAAGAGTACACCTATACAAGGCTGATGGGAATGTAAATTAGTTCAACCCCCATGGAAATCAGTATGGATATTTCTCAAAGCACTATAAATAGAACTACAATTTCATGCAGAAGCCCCACTCATGAGTATCTACCTGAAGAGAAGAAATTTCTTCTTCACGAAGACATCTGCACCTTTATGTTTATTGCAGCATTATTCACAATAGCAAAGTCATGAAATCAAACTAGGTGTTACCAACATTTGACTGGATAAAGAAAATGTGGTATATATACACCACAGAATACTATGCAGCCATAATGAAGCATGATATTATGTCATTCGCAGCAACATGGATGGAGCTGGAGTTCATTATTCTAAGTGAAGTAACTCAAGAACAGAAAATCAAATACTGCATGTTCTTACTTATAAATGGGATCTAAACAGTGGGTAAGCATGGAAGAAAAAGTCCCAAAATAATAAATGCTGGGGACCCCAAAAGGGAATGGTGGGAGGGAGATGAGGGTTAAAAGTTACCTACTAGGTACAAATTCACTATCTAGGTGATGAGTTCACTAGAAGCCCAAACATTACCATTACATAATGTGCCCATGTAACACACTTACATATGTACCCTCTAAATCTAAAATAAAATTAGAATTAAAGAATTATGGTTAAGGATTGTAGAGAAAATATGTTTAAATTAATCATATCAACACAAAAGGAGCTAAAACATACAATAAGTTATTTTTAAAGAACAGCCTTTTTTTTTTTTTTTTTTTGACAGAGTCTTGCTCTGTCGCCCGGGCTGGAATGCAGTGGCAGGTCTCTGCTCACTGCAACCTCTGCCTCCTGGGGTCAAGCGATTCTCTTGCCTCAGCCACCCGAGTACCTGGGATTACAGGCGTGCACCACTATGCCCAGCTAATTTTTTCTTTATTTTAAATAAAGACGTGGTTTCACCATGTTGACCAGGCTGGTCTTGAACTTCTGACCTCAGGTGATCTTCCCGCCTCTGCCTCCCAAAGTGCTGGGTCTGCATGGATGAGCCACTGTGCCTGGCCAAGAATAGGCATGTTTGAAAAATAACCAAATAAAACCACAGGGAAAACAATGTGATTTTTTTAAAAGACCAGTTAAAGGCAGAGTAGGTGCAGCTAAAGGAAGAATCTCTGAACTAGAATATGGATTTTAGGAATTACCCAGAATGCCAGCACATAGACAGAAAAAGATTAAAAACACGGAAGAGAGACTGGACACTTGAAAAGAGTGAGATCACCAAATACAAACATGAACTAGTAATTTGTTAATTAAGTAACAACATTGTTAACTAAGTGATGAAATTACTCAATATTTGTTTTTCAGTGTGGTAGAGCCAATACATGAAGGGAATTTCTCAGAAGTGATAAAAGACATGAACACTTTTATATTAAAAACAACAATTCATTGGGTCTCAAGCAGGATAAATAAGAATAAATTCATACCTGTAAATATTGTAATAAACTGCAAAATTACCAAATATTAAAAGAAAAACTTAAAAGCAAGTGGAGACAAAAAATAACACTATACATAGAACATACCGAAACTTCTCAAAAGAGAAAAAGACCAGATGTTATAGATCGAATGGTGTTTCTCAAAAATTCATATATTGAAGTCCTAACTCCCAGTGCCTCAGAATGTAATTGTATTTGAAATAGAGTAATTGAAGATGTAATTAGTTAAGAAAAGGTCATCCTAGAGCAGCATGGTTTTCTAATCCAATATGACTAGTGTCCTTATGAAAGGAAAAATTTAGATTTAGATAGGCAGAGTGTACAGGAATATGACATGAAAAGAGAAGCACAAAATGGCTATCTACAAGCCAAAGAGAAGAGTCTAGAACAGAGCCTTCCTTCATATCCCTCAGAAGAAATCAATCTCTGTGACACCTTGATTTGGGACTTCTAGCCTCCTAGACCATGTGGCAATATATTTCTATTGTTTAAGAAAAAAAAACCCCACAATATGACATGTTACACAGCATGAAAATCCCACGTTATTGATTTAACATGCACCGTGCCTGACACAAAGGACATATTCATAGTTAGTGAATACTTGTCAACTTTTTATAAGTCCTTGGCTGGTGACAATATAATAAGAGGTCTATTAATATCTTGGCATTAAGGACTTAGGTTAAATGATTCAGTTTAGGACACTGAAAATCAGAACTTTCTTTCCACGATGCTGAAATAGGGGAAAATGGCAAAGCCATCTTTTATATTTCGGGGTTGTGGGGAAAAAGAGAGATAATGAGATACTATCAGAAGATTAAATCAAATGCGTTTGAAAATGTTTTCCCCTGAGACACAAAAATAAAACATTTTAACAGGTTGTGTCTTCTCACCATTTTGATGATTTCATTTAATTTAGAATAGCAAAGAAATAAAAAAACCTTGTAAAGATTTCTAGGCTGGGCACAGTGGCTCACGCCTGTAACCTCAACAGTTTGGGAGGCCGAGGCAGGTGGATCACCTGAGATTAGGAGTTTGAGACCAGCCTGGCCAACGTGGTGAAACACTGTCTCTACTAAAAATACAAAAATTTGCTGGGCATGGTGGTACATGCCTGTAATCCCAGCTACTCAGGAGGCTGAGGTACAAGAATCTCTTGAACCTGGAAGGCGAAGTTTGAGGTGAGCCGAGATTGCACCACTGCATTCCAGGCTGGATGACAGAGCGAGACTCTGTCCTTTTTTTTTTTTTTTTAATTATACTTTAAGTTTTAAGGTACATGTGCACAATGTGCAGGTTAGTTACATATGTATACATGTGACATGCTGGTGCGCTGCACCCCCTAACTCGTCATCTAGCATTAGGTATATCTCCCAGTGCTATCCCTCCCCCCTCCCCCAACCCCACAACAGTCCCCAGAGTGTGATGTTCCCCTTCCTGTGTCCATGTGTTCTCATTGTTCAATTCCCACCTATGAGTGAGAATATGCGGTGTTTGGTTTTTTGTTCTTGCGATAGTTTACTGAGAATGATGATTTCCAATTTCATCCATGTCCCTACAAAGGACATGAAGTCATCATTTTTTATGGCTGCATAGTATCTCATGGTGTATATGTGCCACATTTTCTTAATCCAGTCTATCATTGTTGGACATTTGGGTTGGTTCCAAGTCTTTGCTATTGTCTTTTTTTTTAAAGAATTCTAAAACTATTAAAAATTATAAAGAAGAAAACAGAAATCATCTATTACTATTATAATATGCTGCCTCTCTGGCTGTCTCTGGGTGAGAACCTGAACAGCATAGAACTTGGAGCCAGATTCCTTAGGCTGGAGCAAATCTTGGCCACTTGCAAACTTACTAACCTCTGGTAACTTTACTTAATTTCACTGTGTCAACATTTTCGCACCTGTAAACTGGGGTTAATAATAGCACCTACCTTTTAGGACTGTTATTAAGTCTAAATAAGTTAATATTTGAAAGTGCTTACAGCAGTACCAAACATATCATAAGAGCAATGAAAGGCCAGGCGTGGTGGCTCATGCCTGTAATCCCAGCACTTTGGGAGGCCGAGGCAGGTGGATCACTTGAGCTCAGGAGTTTGAGACCAGCCTGGCCAACATGGTGAAATTCCATCTCTACTAAAAATACAAAAATTAGCTGGGTGTGATGGCGTGCGCCTAGAGTCGCCTGTAGTCCCAGCTCCTCAGGAGGCTGAGGCATGAGAACTGCTTGAACCCAGATGGCAGAGGTTGCAGTGAGCTGAGATCCCGCCACTGCACTCCAGCCTGGGCGACAGAGTGAGACTCAGTCTCAAAAAAAAAAAAAAAAAAAAAAAGTAATGAAAGTGGTAAATATAATAACAATAATAAAAGATGACAGTAAATATGGTAAATTACAAATATTGTTGCCAAGAATTCTAATCATTCATTTCTGGTTTCCATGAGAGCATGTGCTTCTTCCTCTCATCACAATGGGCTTTCAGTATCCTCTGTGGGAGGACAATACTGCCCTGTCCATCTGAACTTGCTTTTCATAATGAAATGTAAGCAGAAACAATATACACCATACTTAACCAGGGTCTAAAATGCCGTATATGTTTATTCCAACTCTTGTACTTTTTCTTCTACCACTACAATGTCATATCTGAAATAGGGACTGCTATTTGGCCCATATCCGTCGCAGACAAATAGCATGAGCAGAAAATAAATATTTGTTGTGGTAAGCCATTTAGATTTGTGAAGTCCTCCATTACTCTAACAAAGTTGACAAATACAATACACAGATAACTAAATGAATAAATAAATAAACAAATTCTATTAGCATGTAGGTAAATTTCAAAATAAATCACCTTTGATTATTTACATATTTAACTTCTTTAATAATCTTAAATTTTACATATGTATAATCTTTAGCATGCTTTCCTTCCACTTAGCTTATGAGTTCATTTAGCTATATGTGAAGCATTAAATAGCCTTTGAAAACCTTACGGCTTTTAAGTAAGTTGAAATAGCCCCTGGCAGCCTATACGTGACAATAAAAACAATAACAATTATTGAATTAAAGTTTTCTAACAATGAAACTGTAAAATGTACATGTAATGTATTTAAACAGAATCTTGTAAACCCAAATAACGTTTCTCAGGGAGTGAGGATAAACATAATTTTACTATAATAAAATAAAACGTAGAAGATAACTAAATGAAGTAGATAAAAAATGACACAGCGGTTGAAATTATCAGTGCCCACTCAAGAAGTGTTCAACGATTATACAATAGATTTGAGTATATTTCCTTTAGCAACGCCATCCAGAGGATAAACTCTACGCATCTAGGACTGGTTTACTTAATCCATAAACTAGCCACATATTCATGGGATCGATTAAGATGAGTGCAGAAAAAAAAAAAAACTGGTTTGATAATTTTTTTTTTTTTTTTTTGAGACGGAGTCTCGCTCTATCGCCCAGGCTGGAGTGCAGTGGCGTGATCTCGGCTCACTGCAAGCTCCGCCTTCCGGGTTCACGCCATTCTCCTGCCTCAGCCTCTTGAGCAGCTGGGACTATAGGCGCCTGCCACCATGCCCGGCTAATTTTTGCATTTTTAGTAGAGACGAGGTTTCACCATGTTAGCCAGGATGGTGCCTCGTGACCTCGTGATCCACCCGCCTCGGCCTCCCAAAGTGCTGGGATTACAGACGTGAGCCACCGCGCCCGGCCCGGTTTGATAATTTTTAAAAGCTAACAATTCATCATGGAATATTCAGGAATTCATTGGGCCTCCTTATTCTTATTTCATCCCTGTGAATATGGAGCATAGCATTATCATTCAGGGTATCCATCACCTAAATGTCACAACGCTACCTGTAAGCATGGCTTTAAGGACACCTACTGCTATGAAAACAATATATTTGGAAGCATGTTCCATGAAATGCTTGTTCTACAGCATGCCAGAAATAACAACCACCAAAAAAATCAAGAAATTTCATAGCCAAAATGTTTTTAAAAATCTTGGTAAAAACAATGTTTGATACAATTCTTCACTCTAAAACTTTAAGGACCCGTTGAGAAATCAACATTTCATGAATTGGTAAGAAAAGATATTCCACAAGGAAAAAAAATTTTAAATGACCACAAGATCCCTTTTTGCACACAGCATTTTGCAGCCCTCTACTTTTCAATTAATACAAATAGGGACTTATCTATTATCTAGGTAATTTGTCAAATAATCTTTTTGTGTGTGTGATTTTATGCTCAAGCAAACAACCTTTACATTGCTGAGTTTCGGTTTCTGAATCTTTAAAATGAAGATAATAATAGAACCTGCCTCAAAAAGTAGTTATGAAGATTAAATGAGACTATTCAAATCCAATTTTCAGCATAGAACCTGGCAGATATATGCTTTCTATGGACTCACTCATTTAATACTCTGAAGTTCCTTGAACAAGGAAATTGACAGAGGAACCTCGTTTTTAACCATTACAAGACTGCTGATGTTCATTTCTGAGCTATGCCACTTTATTATTGAAACAACACTGGTCATGTTACTTAACCACTCTCGGCCTTCCCTAATTTATAAAATGTAGATCAGAATAGCATCTATTTCCGAAATAAAATACTGATTATAAAGAGTTTAGAAGAGTGCCATAGAGTAAGCATTCAGTAAATGTTATTTCTACCAATTGCTTAACCTAACCATGTTAAAAAGAATACATTTCCCAAAAGCAATGACTACGTTCTTCCACAACAATATTTATATTTAGTACTTTCTGAACATCATCATATTAAACAAATATATATAATAGGATAATATATAATATAGAACAGTACCCACACAATGAAAAACATAACCACTTACTGAATTTCTACTGTATGGTAGGCATTGGACATGTATTAATTTATTTAATCTCCTACAATCAGCTTGGAAATGAGCATTAATGTTACCATTGACAAACATATCAATTGAGTATCAGGGAGGATAAACATTTTGGCCAAAAATGCATCTAATAGCTGTGATGCCACCTAGGATTAGACCTAATGTGTCAGAATACATGTAGCTTTTCCACTATACCTCTAAATATGAGATTTATACATAATGGCAACTTGAGAGACATGTCTTTTCAAATCATCAAGTTTAGTACATTAGCGCGGAACCACTTTCTAACAGAAAAGAGTGTGATGTGCCATGATCAGAAAGTGCACACATCCATTACAATCTGACTGTCACCTGCTTCTCCTAGTAAAACTGTTTTATTAAAGTAAGTCACAATTCTAACTATGTCTACTCCCATTACTGAAGGTACACAAAGAAATAGCAACTTGAGATAATCCAGGAACAGATTATGAAAAAAATCAGCCGATAGAAAGTTGGAGAGCATGTATCCATGCTGTTTTTAATAGATTCTATTTGGTTTAAAAAATATGTTCCAATACAAAATTTCATTAAAAGGCAGGGATTTTCCCCATGCTGAAAATGTATTTGTGTATTGTGCTGTTATTCATAACATGCTTTTGATAAGAGGAAAAACATTCCTAGCTTCTCTTTTGAGGTGCGAAGGAAGGAAGGAGGAAAGGAAGGAAGGAAGGAAGGAAAGGAGGGAAGGAGGGAGGAAGGCAGGGAAGGAGGGAAGGGAGGGAGGGATGGGATGGGAGGGAAGGAAAAAAGAAGGAAAAGAGAAGAAAAGAGAGGAGAGAAAAGAAAGAGAATGAGAACAAAATATAATTGATAGAAAGATTCTTAAAAAAATTGAAACTTTCTAATTCCTGTACTTCCAGAAGACACAAATGCTTTTATTCTCTTTTTTGACTTTTCTTAAAAAAATTATCTAAGTTCTATATAAATATTTGCTTCAGGAAAACCACAAGTAACTTGCCTATGATGTAATATATCAATGAAATTTTGCTTTCTGCGTGAGTCTGAATACTTAAACTTAATTATGTTATATAAAACACAGCTTTGGAAGAATAAAATAAAGATTTGGAAAAATTATGTTCTTCTTATAGCTTTTAAAGAAACTTTCACAAGAACTACTAATCTTGTCCTGAATATTTCTAAGCCATAAGGTTACTGTCATCATTTTCCTATTTTAACATTTTGTTAAATTTTCAAACATACACAACAGTAGAGAGAATAGTATAACGAATCTATAATAGGCATCACTTAGATTTAATAATTGTCAGCCCATTTTTAAAATTGTTTCATCTACACCTTCTGACCTCATCTCTTGCAGATTGTTTTATACATTTTATTGGGGTATAATTTAAGTTATCATAAAATTAACTTATGTAAGTATATAATCATTGAAATTTAGTACATTTATAGAGTTATATAAGTATATAATTCATTGAAATTTAGTATACTTATAGAGTTATGTAAGTATATAATTCATTGAAATTTAGTATATTTATAGAGTTAAGCAATTATAACTATCAAGTTTTATAATACTTTAAATCTTCCGATGACCTTTGCAATCTCTTTTCTCTCCCTCAGGCTCAGACAAACACTTATTTGCTCTCCAGATATTTCTTGTAAATTAACTTATAACATATGTAGTCTTTAATGTCTGGATTTTTCACTTAGCATGGTTTTGAAATCATGCATATTGTAGTGTGATGGTTAATATTGAGTGTCAACTTGATTGGGTTGAAGGATGCAAAGTATTGTTCCTGGGTGTGGCTATGACGGTGTTGCCAACAGGATTACCATTTTTAGTGGACTGGGAAAGGCAGACCCACCCACAATCTGAGTGGGCACCATCTAATCAGCTGCCAGCATGGCCAGAATTAAAGCAGGCAGAAGAATGTGGAAAGGCTAGATTGGTTTTGTCTTCTGGCCTACATCATTTTTCCGTGCTGCATGCTTCCTGCCTTTGAACATGGGACTCCAAGTTCTTCAGCTTTGGGACTCAAACTGGCTTCCTTGCTTCTCAGCTTGCAGACAGCCTACTGTAGGACCTTGTGATCGTGTGAGTTAATACTCCTTAATAAACTCCCCTTTATATATAAATATACATATCCTATTAGTTCTGTCCCTCTAGAGAACCCTGACTAATACATGTAGCATGTATAGGTGGTTTATTCATTTATATTGTCATATCGTATTTCATTGAATAAACATACAACATTTTGTTGATCCAATCATCAGTTGATGTTTGAGTCGTTTTCACTTTTTGGCTCTTATGAATATTGCTGCTATGAATACTTGCATACAAGTCATTGTGTGGACATATATTTTTAATTCTCTTTGTTACATCCTAAGAGCAGGATTGTTGAGTCACATGGTGAACTCAACTTATTTTTGGAAAAACTGCCCAAACTATTTTTTATAATGTCTGCATTATTTTACAACCCCAACGGCAATGCATGTAAGTTTCTGTTTCTTCACATCCTCTACCATAGTTGTTATTGTTTGTACACATTTGTTAAAGATTTTTGCATTTATATCATTAGAAATATTGGTTTTTAATTTAGGGTGATGGTTTTGTCTGGATTTGGTATCAGGGTAATACTGACCTCATAGTACTAATAGGGAAGTGTTTTTCCTGAAAGATTTTGTAAAGGATTATTATTTATTATTTATTTGAAAGAGCTCACCAGTGAAGTCATCTGACTTGGAGCTTTCGTCTGTAGGAAGATATTTAATTATTAATTCAGTTTCTTTACTTGTGATAGGACTATTCAGAAGTTGATGAGTAGAAGATTTTGAGAGAGGAGGCAATGAGAAAGAAAAGAGTGACTTCCAAAGTAGTGGGTATAAAATGTGTACATGTGTAGAGCCACAAAGGAGCTTGACCCAGCTTTAACACTGTAAGTGGATGGTTAGCCCCAAGAGGGGGGAAAGTCAAGAACTATAAATATAGCATAGTCAGAGTAAAGCAAACCCATTTTTTCATCTAAACTAAATTAAATGCATCAACAAAATTTATTTAATTATCTTCAGAAGATCAAATCTGTTGCTTACTTATAAGAAATGTATAAGCAGATGATAATACCTGAAAGATCCAAACAAAAAAATAACATTATAAATTAATGACTAACCATGTTTTCTGATGATTGTTTTGTAATGAGAATATTTAAATATGAAAACATGAATGGTGAAATGGTAGAGCAAGATGGTGGAATAGAAAGTCAAAGTCCTCGTCCCCTCCGCAGAAATAACAATTTAATAGTGATACACAGACCACCAGAATACCTTTACAAGGAGTCAAGCACCCTGTTAAGAGGTTGCAATGCCCCCAGTGCACACAGAGCTAATAACAGTGGTACTGAAATAGATAAGAAGAGGAACTTCTCTTTACTCAAGTCAACCTCTCCCATAAGCTGGCACAGCTCAGTTCTGAGAGATTATCTTAGCCCAAAACTTCTCCCTTGGAGAGAATGAAAGGAGTTTGTGTCCAACATCCCTTGGCCTTTTGGAGTGCTGCCCAAGGGACCAGTTTCTATCTTGCCTCATTTGCAGTGCTGATGAAATTGGCATAGTTTAGATGCCTAGGGGCATATTCTAACAGTGTAATGGTGCTGTGTACATCACTCATAAAGATTAAAAAAAGTATTAAAAATGATTATAGTTACAGTAATTTGCTAATGGACACAGAATATAAAAAGATACAAATTGTGACATCAAAAACATAAGACATGGGATGAGGGAAAATAAAAGCGTCTGGTTTTCATATGGGATTAAAGGTAAGTTGTACAGAGCTAGAAATAGAGTGTTTTAAGATGGTTTACGGAAGCTGCATGGTAACCACAAAGGAAATACCTATAAGAGATACATGAAAGAAAAAGAGAAAGAAATCAGAGATTATCAAAGAAAGATAGCAAGAAAGAAAAATAAAAGGGGAAAAAGAGCTAAAAGACAGGAAAAAAATTTAACAAAATGGAAATAGTAAGTTCTTCTCTATCAATAAATAATTTAAACACAAATGGATTAAACTCCCCAGTCAAATACATATTGTGGCTGGATGGTGGAAAAGATAAGATCCAACTATATTCTGTCTACAATAGAGTCACTTTAGAATTAAAGATACACATAAGGTCAAATTGGAGGGACGTAAAAAGATATTCCATGCAAATGGTAACCAAAAGAGAGTAGTGGTCAACATATAAGTATGTATGTGTGTGTGTGTGTGCGTGTGCGTCTGTGTGTGTGTGTGTGTGTGTGTGTGTATATATACACATATATATATGTAACCAAATATATATATTATAACCAAAGAGAGTAGTGGTGGACAAATATATATACATATATTTATATATAGAATATATATGCACACACATTGAATATATATACATTGAACATATATATGTTATATATATATATATATATATCCACCACTATTCTCTTTTGGTTATATATATATTCAATGTTACACCACATTCACAGAATAAAGCATAAGCAGAACATAATCCCTTAATAGATGAAGAAAAAGTGTTTCACAAGATTCAACACTCATGATAACAAAAACCCTCAAGAAACTAGGTTTGGAAGGAATATACCTCAACATAATAAAGGCCACATATGAAAAACCCATAGCTAATACATAGTAGTAAAAAAACCGAAAGTTTTCCTCTAAGATCAGGAATAAGACAAGGATGCTCACTCTTGCTGTTTCTATGCAATATAGTACTGGAAGTCCTAGCCAGACAAATTGGGCAAGAAGAATAAATAAATGGTATACAAATCAGAAAACAAGAAGGAAAATTATCCATTTGCAGATGACATAATCTTATATGTAGAAAACTCAAAGGACTCCACACACACAAAAAAAGTTAGAATTAAAAAATTCATTTAGTACAGTTGCAGGATATAAAATTAATATACAAAAATCAGTTGTGTTTCCACATACTAAGAGCAAACTATTCAAAAAGGAAATTTTAGAGAATCCCAACCACGATAATATCACAGAGAAACTTAAGAATAAACTTAACCAAAAGGAGAAAAATTTGTACACTGAAAAGTACAAATGATAAATTAAAGACACAAATAAATGAAACAATATTATGCCTTCACGGATTGGCAAACTTAATATTGTTAAAAGGTCCACACTACTAAAAGCAATATATAGATTCAATGCAATCCTCATCAAAATCCCAATGGCATTTTTTACATAAACGAAAAATAAATTCTAAAATGTATATGGAACCACAAAAGACCTAGAACAGCCAAAGCAATCTGGAGAATGAAGGACAAACCTGGAGGCATCACTCTTCCTGATTTCAAAATATATTCCAAAGCTGCATAAATACAACAGTATAGTACCAGTATAAAGACGGACAAATAGACAAGTGGAACAGAATGGAAAGACCAGAAATAAACCCACATATACATGGTTGTCTGGTCTTAGAACAGGATGCCAAGGATATACAATTGGGCAAGGATAGTCTCTTCAACAAATGCTGTTGGAAAAACTGGATATCTACATGAAAGAGAATACAATTAGAATTTATCTTACACCATGCACAAAAAAAGTAAACTCAAAACAACTAAAGTTTTAAATATAAGAGCTGAAACTATAAAACAGAAGAAAACATAGAGGAAAATCTTGGCATTGATCTTGGCAATTATATCTTGGATATGACACCAAAAGCACAGGCAACAAATGCAAAAATAGGCAGGGGTGCCTGTATCAAACTAAGAAGCATTGGTACAGAAAAAAAATTAGCAGAGTGAAATGGCAGCCTACAAAATGGTAGAAAATATTGCAAACCATATATCTGAAAAATGTCCAAACTATATGAAAAATTCATACAACTCAATAAAAATTAATAATCAATTAATAATATTGATAATAATCTAATTAAAATGAGTTAATGCTTGAATAAGCACTTCTCTAAAGAAGACATACAAATAGCCAACAGGAATAGGAAAAGTTTCTCAATATCCCTAATCACCGGGGAAACAAATCAAAACCACAATGAAATAACACCTCACACCTGTTAAGATAGCTATTACCAAAACAAAACAAAAACAAAAGATAACACTGTTGGCAAGCATGTGGTGAAATTGGCGTACCCTGTGCACTGTTAGGAGGAATGTAAAGTGGTCTAGCCACTAACAGAACCTCCTCAAAATATTAAAAGTGACCTACCATATGATCCAGCAATCGCACTTCTGGGTATATATCCAAAAGAATTAAAATCAGAATCTTGAAGAGATATCAGCTCTCCCATGTTCACTGCAGCATTATTCACAGTATTCAAGATATGGAAACAACCTATATATCCATCAGTGGATGAATGGATAAGGAAAATTCTGTGTATATGTGCAATAGAATATTGCTCAGCCTTTAAAATGGAAGAAGCTGTGCACAGTGGTATATGCGTGTAATTCCAGCTACTCAGAAGGCTGAGGCGGGAGGATAGCTTGAGACCAGGAGCTCAAGACAAGCCTGGGCAACATAACAAGAACTGGTCTAATAGAGGAAGGAAGGAAGGAAGGAAGGAAGAAAGGAAGGAAGGAGGGAGGGAAAAGGAAAAAAAGATGAAAAAGGAAGAAATCTTGCCCTATGTTGCAACGTAGATGAATGCGGAGGACATCATGCCAAGTGAAATAATCAGTCACAGAACGACAAATACTGCACAACTCCACTTATGTAAGGTATTAAAATAGCCAATCTCATAGAAACTCATACAGAGTAGAATGGTGGTTGCCAGGAACCGGGGGCGGGGAGTGGGGGCTGGGAGAAAGAAATGAGGGGTTTCTATAAGATGGGTATCAGGTTTCAGTTAGGCAAAGTGAACCAGTTCTAGAGATCTGCTGTACAGCGTTGTGCCTATAATTAACAATCCTATGATATGTACTTAAAAATGTGCTAATAGGGTAGATCTCATGTTAAGTGTTCTTACTACAAAGAAAATGGAGGGGAAGTAGGAGGAAAATGAAGAAAATAGTGGAGGTAATGAGTAGAGTCATTACCTTGATTGAGGTTGATAGTTTCACAGATGTATACACATGTCAAAAGTCATTAAATTATATACTTCAAATATATACAGTTTCTTGTATATCAATATACCTCAAAAAAGCTTTTTTTTTTTTTTTTTTTTTTTTTTTTTTTTTTTTTTTAAAGGCCAGGTGTGGTGGCTCATGCCTGTAATCCCAGCACTTTGGGAAGCAAGAAGGAAAGATGGCTTGAACTCAGGAGTTCAAGATCAACCTGGGCAACATGGTGAAACTCTGTCTCTACAAAATTTAATTTAAAAATTTAAATTTTTAAAATTTAAAATTTAAACTTTAAAAATTTTAAATTTTTAGAATTTTAAATTTAAATTTTAAAAATTTTAAATTTAAAAATTAGCCTGGCATGGTGGTGCATGCCTGTAATCCCAAGTACTTGGGAGGCTGAAGTGGGAGGATCGCTTGAGCCGGAGAGGTCGAGGCTGCAGTGAGCCATAATTGCACCATTGCACTCCAGCTGGGTGACAGGCAGAGCAAAACCCTGCCTCAAAACAACAACAACAACAACAACAAAAAGACAGAGAAATGGGATCAAAACTGACATGTGCGAGAAAAAAAATAAATGGTTACCCAAAACATTGTCTTGTTTTAGCAGCTGTGGGAGGCAGAACACGGGCCCACAGAAGATGTCCATGATCTAATCCCTGAACCTGCAAATTGTTACCTGATGTGGCTAAAGGGACTTTGTAGATGTGATGGAAGTTAAAAGATCTTGAGATGGGAAGAGTATCATGGATTATCCAAATGGTAATAATATAATCAAATTAATCTTTAAAATCAGAAAATCTTTCCCAGCTTTCGCCAGAGGAAGATGACTACAGAAGAGTAATCAGAGAGATGCAATTGTTCTGGTTTTGAAAGATGTTCAAGAGCTAAGGGATGAATAAAGTTTCTAGAAGCTAAAAAGATAGGGAGACACATTGTCTCCTATAGCCTTTACAAAGGAACACATTCCTGCAGACTCCTTGGTTTTAGCCCAGTGAGACCTGTGTCAAATTCTCACCTCCTAAACAATAAGACAATAATGTGTGATATTTTAAGCCATTAAGTTTGTGGTAATTTGTTTCAGGGGTAATAGAACACTAATACAGTAACTATTCTAAAAATGTATAAAATCAAAGTGCTTCCAGGCTTATTACTAAAAGTGCTATAAAAGGAAAGCCTGTGGTTACTCAAAATATTAAACACCATCAGCACAATCTGTGCATGACTCAGTCATATAAAGTAAGATCTTAGTCTGCCAGCCCCTGCCAAAAGGATCCAGTAATAAAATTATGAGTACATACACTTCTATGTATATATCCAGTCTCTTCTACTTTCAGCAACATTTTAAATCACTGATTTCAAAGACTTTCCTTCCCAGTACTTTGTTTTTCATCAATGACTCATTTTTTTCTTCTCCATCATTAGCTTGGGTTCCAGAGTGGATTGGTTATCTGCAACTTGACTTTGGAATTGTCTTTTGAGGTCAGCCATAGGATGTACACCCCATCACTCCAGAGTTTCTTACTGTCCATTTTAAGATAAGGTTTCTTTGCCAAGTTATAAGATACTGCCAAATCTTTCCATTATCTTCCTAAGTCCCTTTACTGATTTCTCAAACCCCCTTTCATTCTCTTCTTAAAATGCAAACATTTCATCTGGTAACTCCTTCTTATTTTCCTCTTGCTCCGTCTTGACCCTACTATAGTTTCTTTAATCTGTAGTTATATATATATGTGTATCGTTTTGAGTGACATCACCAAGGATAAATTTAAACACTTAGTAATATATATTTTTTGGATAAAAGATGGGACATATCATTTAAGTAGTACAACTAACTTATTCTTTATAATTCATGTGTCATATGAGACTCTCAAAGCTGTCCAAATGCTTTCTGAATCTTTGTTGAATAACAAATGCATGGCACAGTTTTAACCCCATATCCCTATCCCATATGCGAGAGTCAGATATTGTTATCAGGTCAACAATTCATTGTTTCAGCTTCTCCATGATGCCATAACAAATTTCCATATATTGGGCAGCTAACAATAACAGACATGTATTCTACCATAGTTAGAGCCTGAAATTCGAGTGTCAGCAAGGCATGCTGTCTTTGATAGCTTTGGTGGATTAGCTTCTGGTGTTTGCCAACAATTGGCATTTCTTGGTTTCTCAATGCATCACCCCAGTCTTTGTTATCACTTGGCCTTCTTCCCCGTGATTCCTCTATGTCTTTAAATCTCTGTCTTCTTATAAGGACACCAGTCATTGGATTTATGGCCCACCCTAATACAGTCAGACTTCATCTGAACTTAATCGCATCTGCAAAGACCCTATTTCCAAATACTATTACATTCCTAGGTACCAAGGATTAGGATTTCAATGGCTTTCTTTGAGGGGGGTGAGGGACAAGGAGGTACATTTCATCCCACAATATTCCTATACAGAGCTTCAGAATACTCAACAAAAAATTCAAATTCCAAATTGCAATCAACAAGGAATGGGATGTAGAACAAAATGCATTTGAGAAGACAATACTGAGGAGTGTTTAAAGCTTGGATTCTGGAATAAGAATGCTGTGGCTGGAAGGCTGGCTGGACTTCATAGCTGGGTAACTTTGTACAAGTTGTTTAACATTACTGTTTTTCAGGTGTCATGTGCAAGATAGGAATCATAACAAGACCTACCTCAGAGGGTAACGGAAATTAAATGATATGATGTAAGCAAAAGCACAATGCCTGGCATGAGAAATGATTGATAAATATTGTCTATTAAAATTATTAATTATCCTAAAAATATTTTTAATTGTTTTATTATTGTAAACATTATTTGAATTGTTACACATAATTGGCATTGTACAAAATATCAGATTAATGGAAACACCCTTGACTTTACTTGTAAAAATATATTTAGTCCATATTACTTACAAGTTTAAATGTACAAAAATTAAATATATTAATTTTTATTATTAAAGTAATAATTGCACCATAATGTCAAGCATAAAATTTTTAATGATTTTTTAATTTTATTTACAGTCTTATCTGTCTCTATCCCCCACCACATCTCTCGCTTCTGTCTGTCTTGCTTTCTTCCTCTCTTTCTCTCAGTATCTATTTATATATTCTGTATATTTATATACTTGTACAATTATATTATTTTTATTATATTGAAATCTCTAGTACATGTAATATTATATGTAAGCATTTTTCAGATTTCTATAATCCTGTGGAAACATAATTGTTAGGATTCTGTAATATTCTATTAAATGTTCTTATTAAAACTTATTTAGCTTTTATAATATTTTAAACACTGTATATGGTTTCAATGTGATTGTTTTGTTAATGTTAAAATACCTGACACATTAACAGAAAGAAAACTGTTGTGTTTTAAAATTAACTAAAAAATCTGATGAAAAACTAAGTGAATACTTAGGGAAAAAGTACTGCTTAAGTGCAGAACAAGTAACGGAAGTAATGGCTAATTCTAGAAGCTTTGCACAGCAGATAAAGATCACATTTCACATATAATAAGCACTTAGGCTAAAGTTAAATTCTTATAAGAATTTCCTTATATAGGTTTTAAAAATTCTGAATTCATACATTTTTATGTGTCACTTGCTATGATGTATTAAGTAAAAGAACAGTGTTTATTTTATTTGTTGTTGCATTTAATCAATTTGCATTTGTGCTTTCAGATTATTTTACTAGGTCCTGGGTTTATAGAAGCATAATAGTCTGTTGGGCAGCACTAGAACAGACAAGAGACAGAAAAGTCTGCAAATTACCTGTTTCCTCTCAATTTTAAATTATGGAGACTTCTTTTCAAAAATAAAAGAGAAAGGTATTGATATTTGTTATTAGTAAATTAAAAACGATGAAACACACAGGGATCCTAATGTGTAGAAGACAGACTTCCTCTCTTAACTTTCTCTCTTTGAGTAATATTTTCCCGCTGCACCATGAAGCAACTTTGAACCTTAAAAGGCATCAACATAAAAAAAGAGATATCATATTTAGATGCAAATTATTAATTATGGAAGGGAAAAATCCAAACTAGTCTGTTGTGGTAGACACGTGCCATGAGATATATGACTAATTTGATGGTTTGTTCAGCTGTCAATGCCACCTGACTTACTAAAATGTTACACTTTTCTCCCCTGCACAAAAGATTATTGTTCAGTATTATTCTACCTACAAGAATGTTGTACAAACTCTGGTACTTGTATATATTTGAATAATACTTTATGTGTAATTTTTCCAAGCATAGTGACAATGAATAAGAATATGCGGTGGCTCACGACTGTAATCCCAGCACTTTGGGAGGCCGAGGTGGGCTGATCACCTGAGGTCAGGAGTTCAAGACCAGCCTGTCCAACATGATGAAACACTCTACTAAAAATACAAAAATTAGCCAGGCATGGTGGTGGGAGCCTGTAATCCCAGCTACTCGGGAGGCTGAGGCGGGAGAATCGCTTGAACCTGGGAGGCAGAGGTTGCAGTGAGCTGAGATCACGCCACTGCAGTCCAGCCTGGTGACAGAGCAAAACTCCATGTCAAAAAATAAAAATAAAGAAAAATAAGGAATACATTAATCTATCGGCTCAAACTTCTTTTGAGATGGACTGTTTTAAAGTGGCAAAGACAATTTTTCTCTGGGGCTGTGGTTGGGAAGTTATTTTTATGTTTCTCGGTACCAGAAGCACAATATTTGAAAGCAACTGAACAACTTTCTCACCTGTTTCAGGTATTTAAATTTACGTTGCTCGTTTTTCCCGTGCATAATATATTTATCCACCTCAGGTGAAAACAACATCAGAAAGGGGGGAAAAAACCACCAAACCAAATTAAACCAGCAGGATTAAGCAAAAATTTAGATGCAGCCAGCTTGATCAGTGATGTTTTATTGATCAATCACCTGCACTTACATTGAATTGTTTACACACAGATTTCCAGCATAAATAGCAAATGCACCACTTCATTTTACTTATGTGATATCATGGATTAATGTACACATTAGTCTGTTAGATCCACCTTAGGTGTTCAGGTGCTGCATAAAATGACTTGCTGGTAGTTGCATTAAACCTTTCTTTTTAAAATACAATTAAAAGAGTTTTCAGGTGTTTTAAGACATAATGAGGCAGATTATTTAAGTACCTAGGCTACTTTATGAAGGTAAGTTAGACATGACTGGAAGCAGTATTAATACATTTATGTCACAGAGAAAATTGCTGATGTTTATATAGTTATTCAAAGTGTGTTTCACAAACTATTTGCCGGTATTTCTCTAATTTTATGTTATGGAGGCAATGGAAATTTACAGGGTTGACTGATACAAAGTATGTAGGAAGTTGTATTAGTCAGGGCTCTCCAGAGGGACAGACCTAATGAGATATATGTATACCTGAAAAGGAGTTTGTTAAGTTGAATTGTCTCACACAATCACATGGTGATCCCTGCAAGCTGAAGGCAAGACAGCCAACAGTGGCTCAGTCCAACTCCCAATGCCTCAAAAGTAGGGAAGCCAACAGTGCAGCCTTCAGCCTGTGGCCAAAGGCCCTAGCGCCCCTGGCAAACCACTGGTTTGAGTCCAAGAGTCCAAAGGCCAAAGAACCTGGAGTCCGATATTCAAGGGCAGGAAGTATCCAGCACGGAGAAAGATGAAAACCGGAAGACACAGCAAGCCAGCTTATTCCACCTTCTTCTGCCAGGTTTTGAAGCCATGCTGGCAGCCAATTGGACTGAGTCCACCCTCATTGAGGGTGGGTCTTCCTCTCCCAGTCCACTGACTCAAATGTTAATCTCCTCTGGCAACACCCTCACAGACACACCCAGAAACAATACTTTGCCTCCTTCAATCCAATCAAGTTGACACTTAATATCAACCATCATAGAAGTCTACCTCAGAGAGGTTCGTTCAGTAAGAGCTCTACAAAGGGAGAATATTTAAGCAGAACTTTTCATAGTAATGAGTCAAGCTTGAAAAGGTCACAGGGAATCACATTCAAAATAGAGCCACTGCCAAGCGCAAGACCCAGAGGCAGGGACAAGCTTGGCATGTTCCTGGAACAGGAAGAATGCTAGTGTGTCACTTAGCATACTCAGTTCTGCCTGATGCCAAATCTATACTATTGATACTACACCAAGCTACCATGAAAAGAACATGGAGAAAATATGAGAGTATTCTTTATTTTCCTGAAGCAATTGATCACTCTTTTCTTTAGGTCACTAAATATCCACTGATCATACTTTCCTTTTCTTTCCGAGGTCTTCACTCAGCAAATGGAACTCTATTTTCCAATCTAACATACATACATGTTGCTAAAATATTTACAAAAAGACAACATCTAGTTTATATGTTTTATGAAAAATTTCATTTTCAGGAAAAAAGGATGGCTGGATGGATATTATTTTTATTTCCAGGAATTCTGTTTCCAGGAATTTTACCTATGTTCTTGAGCACTTTTGAGCAACTTAAAATCGCAAAGACCAGGACTCTAAATTATGCATTATTGTGAGTATTCATTGCTTAATCATGATTAATAATCTTCATCACTAGTTCTAGAAAATTGAGTCTATGAAATCTATTCTTTTTACTATTACTATTATTAGCACATTCAATCATTTGCTTCAAGAATGGTATTATTACCATTGTGTGTTATTTTTTTTAAAGATGAAATACAGTAAAATTTATAAATAATAGCATGAATCATCTTTTTGTTTAAAACGGTGAAATTTCAGAAAATTATGATTGAAAAGTTGAATGATTATACAGTAGCTTAAAATATACATCCAATAGCTTATATAAGAAGTGTAAATGCATTATAAAAGGCAAAGAAAAGTAACAAAGTACAACACTCAGAAGAATGATTTTACAAAAAATAAACTTTGATTTTCCTTTTGCCTTGTATTTCTTACCACTCTAGATCATTTAGGATATCTTTGTAAGATATATGAATGTCTGTAAGCCATCTTAAACTATGTTTATTTGCTTAAAGAAAATTAAATAAGTTAGAGCTGCACTACACTTAAAAAATACAATAATGAGATTGTAGGTAAAATCTAGTATTAAAAAAGCAACAAGCAGAACCAATGCTTTTGTGCTAAAAGTACACTAAACTAAGAAGAGAGAAAGAACTCTTGGATCAGATGGCTCACACCTTATTCATGAACTGGTAGAATCTCTGGTTGTTCATCTTATAAATTTCATTTCTGCTCATGATGTGTAGTAACTTTCTTCTCAATTTAAAAAGTACAATAATAATCATGTAATTTTGAGATGAAAAAAGAGAATCCCTGTGGCATTTGAATGCTTTCTCCACTCCAGACATTGTTTTCTAATTCAGGAAATTGAGAGCTATGAATATGTGACCTCTAAGCATCCTTTCAATTTTGACATTCCCAGATTCTATATAAAACCAGACTCTCAAATAAACTGTCCCTAAGAATGACGGCATAATTTTGCTTTCGAACATCAATAGTTATTTATTCTTAACGTATGTCCTTCAAGAGTGTAGAGCATAGTGCAAAAAGTCTTGGTAGAAGTGTTGAGGCACAATAGTGCTCCCATCCCAGCTCTGCCACTGACAAGCTTAAGATATTGGATAGCTCACTTAATTCTGCCAATCCTCATTTATTAAGCTGAGTTGAAATATTTTTTCTCATTATAAATGAGGAATTTCAGTGAGAGATCAGTAAGTTGCTCTTAAAATGAATGTTAACAATAATTATAGCCAACACACAATGAACACATTCTCACTAAACAAAAGACTATAAAGTTTTCAAATCTTGATTTGCTTTTTCCCTTTCGAAATGTGGAGTGAGTTATGATGGCTACTTGGCATACTTGAAGCCCTTCAAATTGTCAATTCCTTGCTCTTTCTAAAGCTCTGGAGGTCTGTTTTCTCTGAAATGTTTGTTTCTTTCAATTTGTAGCTCTCTGTAGGTTCCCGCACTCAGAGCATAAAATAAAAAATACAAAGAAAAGTGAATAATCTTACCCAAAATTTATTACAAATAGCAATTTAAAAGACTCATTATCACAGTATGAAACGTAAAAAAGAAGGATCATAATCAAAAAATGTGAGAAAAATGTAGAAAATGTGTGGGTATATATCTAGCTATTTCAACAGCATCTGAATATATGATGTTGTGCTATTCATGAATGAATCAATAAATACATTTCTGTACTCATTTAATAGTGCATTATTGGAATTAAACTATAGCTATAAATACTAATTAGAATTAAATCATTAGAAATGAATTGTGCTCAGCATCTTCTACCAGGCTGCTATTAATGAGGAAGCTCAATTTGTTGGAATTCATCAATTTTTGTTTTATACTTTTAGGAGGGTTTATAAGACAACAGTATTTGGGGGAGGAGAGTCCCCAGGCTTCAAGACACTATAAAATCTCATTGAAGTTGGTTTCCTGAAAGTTAAATAAAAAGGAGAAAAAAAAACCCTCTTGGTACTTGTGCATTGCTGAGTTGGTCAAATTGAGCCAATTCTAGTTTTTCAGGGTTGTTGAACTCACCAGGGAGGACATGAGCAGACAGATGAAGTACAGAGGATACTCTATGTACCAGCTTCAGCAGAATCCAAGTGATTTCTCAGCCTGCACTTCCAAGTCCATGCATCTGGGATCTGAGTGCTCTTTAACACTCTTTAGTTAGTATGTGATGCCTTGCTCAGGAAGCCCTACTTCCTTGATCATCGTGATGGTTAATATTGAGTGTCAACTTGATTGGATTGAAGGATGTAAAGTATTGTTCCTGAGTGTGTCTGTGAGGGGGTTGCCTAAGGAGGTTACCATTTGAGTCACTAGACTGGGAAGGCAGACTCACCCTCAATCTGGGTGGGCACAATCTAATCAGCTGCCAGCAGGGCCAGCATAAAAAGCAAGCAAAAGAATTTGGAAATATTAGACTACCTGAGTCTTCTGGCTTTCATCTTTCTCCCGTGCTGGATGATTCCTGTCCTTGAACATCAGACTCCAAGTTCTTCAGCTATTGGACTCTTGGACTTACACCAGTGGTTTGCAAGGGGCTCTCAGGCCTTTGGCTGCAAACTGAAGGCTGCACTATCAGCTTCCCTACTTTTGAGGTTTTAGGACTTGGACTGGCTTCCTGACTCCTAGACTTGCAGAAGGCCCATTGTGGGACTTAACTTTGTGATTGTGTGAGTCAATTTGCTTAATAAACTCCCCTTCCTATATACATTTATCCTGTTAGTTGTGTCCCTCTAGAGAACCCTGACTAATACAATAATGTGTGACCTCAGCCCTCTCCAGCTCTAAGATCTACTAGTCTGGGCCAGAGCAAGGCTGACCATTGATTGCAGCTTTTCCAAGAAAGATAGGAAGCTTTGGAGTTCAGAAACTCTACGGAAGACTTCAATTTGTCGTGGGGTGGAAGTAGCCACCTGGGCCAGCAAGAGAGAACTGAGAGCAGTAGAGAGAAAACACCGAGAAGAGATGCACATTAAAGGCTGGGGAGGTAGAGAACTGCTGAGGAAAGGTCACCAGTCTTTGCTCAGGGTTCTCAAACTTGACACTATTGGGCCAGATAAATTTTTCCTGTGGGTGACTGTCCTCTGTACTCAGCAGTATCATTGGACTATACCTAGTAGATGCCAGTAGCACTCCTTCCAAGTTTCAAAAATCAAAAATGTCTCCAGACATTGTCACACATTCCACAATGTGGGATAGAAGAAAAGGCAGCAAAATCTCCCATGGTTTCAAACCAGTGATTTATGCATTCCCACCTCCAAGATTTGGGTTAACTCCTTCTTATTTTACCTTTGCATAATCATGCCCTGCTACGAACTTAACTTTGCCCCCTCAAGATTCATATATTGAAACCCCAACCTCTAATATAATGATATTTGGACAGAAGGCCTTTGGGAGATAATTAGATTTAGATGAGGTCATGAGAGTAGGGTTATATTTTATTTGTCTAATTTTTTTTTTTTTTTTTTTTTTGAGACAAGGTCTCGCTGTGTCTCCCAGGCTGGAGTGTAGTGGCATGATCACAGCTCACTGCAGCCTCAACCTCACAGGCACAAATGATCATCCTGCCTCAGCCTCTTAGGTAGGTGGGACTACAGGTGCATGCCACCACACCTGGCTCATGTTTGTATATTTTGTAGAGATGGAGTTTTGCCATGTTGCCTAGGCTGATCCCCAAACTCCTGGGCTCAAGCAATCTACCCACCTCAGCCTCCCAAAGTGATGGGATTACAGGCATCAGCCACCGCATCTGGCCTGGTTCCCTTGATGAGATTTATGTCCTTATAAGAAGAGACACTAGAGGTCTTGCAGTTTTTCTCTTTCCATCGTGTGGACATAGTGAGAGGGCAGCCATCAGCAAGCTAGGAAGAGAGACCTTCCCAGAACCCAACCATGCTAGCATCCTGATCTCAAATATCTAACCTCCAGAACAGTAAGAAAATTGCCGTTAAACCACCCAGTGTATTGTATTTTGTTATGGCAGATGGAGCTAAGACATGGCCTCTTCCCAGAAAACTTTCCCTTGCTCTTTGTAAGATTTAGATGCCTGCCCCACCGTGATTCTTTAACACCTTATTCTTTGTTTATTCAATGTAAATGTAGTAGACACCTGCTACATACTATATATTGTCCTCAACATATGGTAGCAAATAAAATTGACAAGGTTCCTGTCCTTACAGAGCGTTCATGTTTGGAGAGGAAACAGACCATAAAGTGCATAACCATAAGTAAATGAGATACGTGTGGTTGCCGTGAAGCAAATTAAACGGAGTGATGTGATACTACTTGGCAATTAACAAAATAACTAAAATGTTCATGAAAGCTAGCAACTGAGCAGACACAGGTGAAAGGAAAGGAAGAAACTATAACAACCAGAATGAAGAGGCATCAAGGATGAGAACCCCAATGTGAAAACCAATTAGGCTTATTTGCAGAATTCTAGGAAGGCCAGTGGCTAAGTGCTGTAAGTCAGGGGTCGAAGGCAAGTCTGAATTGAACTAGAAGAGATGGGAATGGCCCAGTTGATACAAAGCCCAGTAAACCGTGGTAAGGAGTTGGATTTTTTTTCAGTGGTCTTTATAGTACTTAATGCACTATCTCTAATTGTCAAAACTATTGGTCTCTTTCCCTTATTATCCGTATGGCCTTTCACAGTTCCTTCAATGTCTTGTAAAAAAAATCTGTAAAACGGGTAACAGCAAATGTCTCAAGTAATGCTGTGAGGTATACATAAAATGCGGTGATGCTAATAATAAGCATTATTTAATAAAATTGTAGTTAGTGCATTGCGGCATTATATTAATATCTTTCAATCTTCAGAGTGATAGGCTTTATTCCTGCTACAAGGATAAAGAAAAAACACTTGAACTTAGTGTCGAAGGCAGAATAGGAGATTGTTGTTGAAAAAATCACAATGAAAAGTGCAAGGCACTTCAGAAAATGGGAATAGCATGTGCAAAGCACTGTTATAAAAAATCCCGGAGTGGAGAGTGACTATAAGCAATTAGATGCAGCTGGAGTGTAAAGTGCAAGGAGCAGTAGGAGAAAAACCTGGATAAATATATTCTTACCTTAATTAGCTTATGTGATCTTGCTAAAAGTAACTTTATGTCCATTAGCCTCAGTTTCCTAATCTACTAAAAAAAAAAAAGCAACAACACCTCCTTCATTGCAATATTGTGAGGGTAACATGAAATAATACTTTATCATAGAGCCTGGTACAAAGTAAGTTTTAAAAACATTAGGTATATAGCCAGCCATCTAAAGGATACATATTAGTGCACCAATGCCCCTCTAAGCTAATTTCCATTGGTAAACTAAAAGACTCTGTTTTCAAACCTTTTCCATTTTTGATGAACGACTTGAATGGTACACATATTAGATATTTTAGATTACTGAAGTTGGAATGGATAGTGAACACACTACATGACAAATATCAAATCTTGACAAGCTGAAGTGATCCAATTTAACACCGATAAATGTATAGTCCAAAACACACATTTAGGGGGGAAAAAGTATCTATTTGAGATGAACCAGATGTGAGTGAACAGCCATTCATATGAAATATCAAAGAGCATTTTTTTGGGTGAATGTAAGCTCAATATGAGATAAGAATGGGATGTATTTGCTTAAAAAGCAGATGCAATGGTTTTCAGTAGCATTCAGAGAGGTACATATCCCATATAAGGAAGTAATTATCTCACTTCAATAAGACAAAAGAAACTTATCATAGTAACAGAAAATGGTTGGTATTTATAAATCGTTCGAATGATTGCATCTTTGGAACTAATGAATGAAGTGGTCAGTATATTAACAGTGTAAATCTATCTCTACTTAGTTTCCATTTAGAATGGAAGGTGTGAAAGATTTCTGAAGGATGTGAAAAGCAATGCCCTGAAAGGAAATGGAGCCCATGATGTTGACCTTCATCCTCTCTTTTGATTCCTGTAATTCCACTTGTGTTAAGGAGGCCAGTAGACCAGTTGGCAGATCGTTTCAAGGAAGTTGACCCTGAGTAGCTTGCTTTTGACATGTAGCCAATGGAAAGTCCGACTGTAATTCATCTGGGGAGTCTGGTTGAAATGTGCAATGATGGGCATGACATGTCCTCAGCAAGAGTGGCACTAACCCATACAAGGGAATTGGAATGCTTACAAAGAAGATGCTCCAAAAACAGGGGGCAGAGAAAAGCGCAGCCTTCATTTGAAATATACTCTTAGTGAATT